>NC_000015.10:93714005-93865520 GCF_000001405.40 Homo sapiens
GTTTATGAAGGCCAAGGACACAAGCACAATATTTGAGAGTCAGAAGAAATTAAATAGCATTTTGCTTCAAAGAGAAGGTCAAATAAGCACATTCATCTTTCCCATCTCAGAACTCGTTATTATTTTTATTGTAAAACCCTTCCAGAGGCAAATTTTCTATCTGAAAGGCTGATTAAGAATCTTCCTTTTAAAAATGTTTGTTGTATTATTTATTGATTTATTTTTGAGACGGAGACTTGCTCTGTCACCAGGTGGAGTACAGTGGCACGATCTTGGCTCACTGCAACCTCTGCCTCCTGGGTTCAAGTGATTCTCCCGCCTCAGCCTCCCAAATAGCTGGAACTACACACCACCATGCCCAGCCAATTTTTGTATTTTTAGTAGAGACGGGGTTTCACCATGTTGACCAGGATGGTCTCAAGCTCTTCACCTCGTGATCCACCCGCCTCGGCTTCCCGAAGTGCTGGGATTACAGGTGTGAGCCACCGCGCCCAGCCAAGAATCTCCCTTTTTTTAAAAAAGCATTTGTCCTCCAATTACTGAACCTGAAGGTATCATAATGAGCAAAATGTAAACTGTTTGGAGAAAAGTATTTGTGCAGAACACAACCTCTGTTTTTATGGAGTGTTTTTCATTTAAATGATCTGATGCAACCTTGAAAGGGGATGCCTGCAATAAGGCTTTCTCACAGTGCAGGTATTGCAAGAGAAGAAATTGTGAGCCGACATCTAACGTAGATGAAGAGAGATAAAGCAGTGAATACAAATAAATACATGAATACCACGAGGTGTCTATTACTTTCATGCACCAAGGAACTAGAACTGGTGATTAAGCAGATGGATCTAAATTCTACAATTTTTGCTTTTTGATTTTTCCCTTGGTTCTATCTCCCTAGGGAACCATTCAGCTCCAATTAGCTTTGGTTGCCAGGTCCATGATATTGCAATTCTCTGAGTCAAGTAGGCACCAAGCCCGTTTTTGCTTGGTTTAGCTGAAAAAGATGTAAATTAGGAGTAGCAGATTGGCTGTCTTTTTTTTGTAGGTCTGGACTGTCCTAGGCACTACATATTAAGATGATCCCCTAATGCTAAGGAACTGAATGAAGTAGTTTTAATGCATCTATATCTGGCACCTGTGAAGCCAATAGTAAGTGAGGAGTGCTAAGTAGCTATCGTTTTGAAAATAAATTACACATAGATTTAACTTTGCTTTATTTGAAACAGACCAGTCTTCATTGTAGGGAAAGAGAGAGACACTTCACCTGAATGACAGTTTAATAGCAAATAAGGTGAAAATGGGCTAATAGAGGAAGAATCTCCTGGGGGAGGGGTGACAGTGGATATGAATCAATTGTTGACATGGGTTTAAATCAAGCGTGTGTGTGTGTGTGTGTGTGTGTGTGTGTGTTGTGGTGTTGTGGTTGTAGCTGCCGAATCGTGTTTGGATATTTGTGAGCCGGTAGCACGGTTAATCTGTAGGCACTATCTGCATGGATTGGTTTAATGGTGTGTGTGTACAGTGGGGAGGGGAGACCCTACAAGGAACGTTATTCGTAAAAGCTTGAAGGCAAAGCTATGGGGAGTGGGTGGGGCAGTGCTGGGGAGGTGCAGAGCCCTGGACTCTGTCTATTTTCAGGAAGATCTCCTTGGATAGAGGTTGAGCCTTTGCAGGAAGCCAAGGTGGGCAGGAGACGAAGGTGAAACATTTTTCCCTAGGGACCCTGTGAGACTTGGGACCTGCTGTGGGTCCAGATGAGAGAATGTGACATAGAGTTGAGAAGGCAGTATTCTCTCTTCTTCTTGGAACATAGTTTGTCTCTGGTACGGCGATAACCAAAGGGGAGGAATAGCTGTTTGGGTTGGTGACTTTGGGAGATCCAAGCAACGGCACCTCTGGCACAGAGGTCAGTTTTCTCAAGAAAGATCCTAGGATCTCAGGAAGTGACATCAGCAAGAGGCCTGTGGCAGACCATGGAAGATTTGTGCATACATGTGCAGCAATCTGAGGACCTCCCAGAAATGGCGAGAAAGGCCTGGGAGTTGGAGGTCCTGCCACCTCTAGGCAGGAGTCACACACCAGGGAAGCATGGATGATTCCATGCCAATGCTCTACAAACCGACAATGCCCCGGAGAATGCTGGTTACTTTCTGTTTCTAACCAGGACTTTGCATGCCACGTGTTAATTCCATATATCCAGTCATCGTCTTTTTGCGATTTCAGAGAAACCAATGTAGAGAACTCTGTTTCTAACAAATGTCTATTCTTATCATAAAAAATAACCTACTTTGCCTAAACAAATGCTCTGTTGCTCTCAAACATCATCGCCTCTGACCTTCACTGCACACCTCAGACAGGTGCTGTAATTGTTAAGATGAGAGAAAAGGGCAAGGAAATGAACACTTATTAAGAACTGAATATTTTCTGGACACTGTATCAGAAAATTCACCTGCTTTTTCCCATTTAGGCCTTATGATCATCTCGAAAGGTAGGTATTATTTAATCCCCTGACCAAAAATGAAAGCTGAGGCTCTGAAACACTTTTCTGACACGCGCTGACCAGCGATGGCTCTGGAGCAAACCTAGGTCTCAGACCTCTGCATCCTACTGTACATAGTTGGAGTGCTGGAGGTTACAGGAAAATTTGAAAGGAAAAAGTCTACTTTATAGGAGCTCAAGGGAGATGAGAGGGAGAGAGGAGCAGAGAGGGAGGGTTGGGCTCAGAGTCAGTGCGAGATGAAGGCTGGTGGTTTTTACACCTGTCCCCCACCAGGCATCGTTGTAGACATTCTCATTTTCTACTTGTGGTTTGATTAGTTCTCCCTGTGCTCTTCAAGGACACCCAGACACCTGATCTGCCATGAGCGTTAAGCTGAAAGGCTGTCTTTCCAGCACCAGCTTCCAGCTGCCATAATAAGTATGCTCCAGACTGTTTCTCAACTCTATTATTTCAAGTTCTGAGCTCTCCTCCCTCCTCTGACTCTGTTCTTGCCGGTGTTAAATGTTCTTGTCAAAAGCAACTATTTACAGGCCATTAACAACAGAACGGATGATTAGGCTCTCTCCAGACCTGATGAATAATGCATACTGCCAGTCAGTGGTTTCACCACCCAGTACAGGGCTCTTCTGAGGAGCAGTGCCATTAAAGAGTCTGCTGTTCCCTTTCTGAGATCTGAATAATTTGAAGAAACAATTGCATTTTAGTGTGTGGAGGGAAAACCTTGTCCTTTGTGTACTCTGTTGTTTTGGGCAAAAGCAGAGGAAAGAGAAGCTTGCCCATTTCTGTTTCTATCCGTGGATAGAAACAAATCAAATATGTATTTATTTTTATCTCTAAGGAAGGATACTACGAAATCTACCTCTAAAGCCTAACACGGAGGCTGAAGTGAACAAACCTCAGCCACAGCCAGATTTATAAATGGTTCTGGCGGTGCAGACCCATTGCATACTTAGGACATTAAGGAACTTGGAGAGTCCATAAAGGAGAATGAGTTGCAAAGGTCAGAAGTGCACACATGGATCCAGGTAAGCTGGGCCTGGAAGCCCAGGGAGAAGAGGGCTTCAAACGTTCATCGAGTGTCACATGCTGTAGGAGAGTCTAAACAGTCTGTGCACTAGTGGTCTCAGAACCGGTTTCTCCCCATGACAACCTTATTTTTGAATAAGGTGTGTGCATCTCAACTCTTTTCACATTCAGGGTAAATCCTTCCTTCACAAATCTCTGCAAGCTGAGAGATCTTGCCAAACAGGCAACCAGATAAAGCTTAAAACGATATGTATATGCAGTGGATGTGCAGTAGAGAGCCTCTTATGGGACCCATGTTGCACAGACTTAGTCCTGTGAATACACGTGCTTTACACAAGCCTTATTTATAAAGGAAATTGAGAAGGAAATGTCACTAGAATGTAAATGGTAATGTCATGATATCTGGGCATGAATTAGACGGCAAAAACAAGATGCACAGCTTCAACTGAACCTTCCAGGCTAATGTACCTGAGTGCTATGTTACCACAGAGGAGAGGGGAATGAGGAAGATGGGGAGAAGGAAGAAGAAAGAAGGAATCTGAAAGAAAGAAATAGAAACGGGCAAGCTTCTCTTTCCTCTACTTTTGCCCAAAACAATAGAGTACACGAAGAACAAGGTTTTTCCTCCACACACTAAAGTCCGTGAAGTCAAAAAGGGATCCTCTCACCTAAAATGTATGTGGTCTTCATGATGACAAGATATCAGGAAGTTCCAGAAGCTATGATTCTTTAGTTCCCTTTCTGACCATTACTGTGATTGGATGGGTTCTGGCAAAACAGAATGGCTAACAGAGGACCAGCTCAACCTGGTGGTCACTGCTGTTTCTCTGAGTAACTTTCCATTGCTACCATGAGGGAGAATGAAAATTCACATCTCAAGTCCCCCATCCTTTCTAATTACTTCCTTAGGCAATATTTCTTCCTCCCTGTGTACCCTATGGTACCAGGAGATCAAGGCCACAAACTATCGGTATAGGGGTAAGAGGTCTATACCATTAACAGACCATTGTTAATTGTCTCTTGTTAATTATCTCATTGTTAATTGTCCTGTGCTGCTATACAGAGATCATGGACATTCAAGGCCATGGTCTACATATACACTCTTTGACATTGATAAGTTGCTCACGTCTCCTATTTTTCTACAAAATAGTGCAGGTCTTTATGGGTATTGGTTTGTTGCTCATTTGTTTGTTGAGGACATCCAGCAACCAAACACCTCTCCTTCTCTGGGAGATTCTTGATTGAAAGTCTTGGCAGAAGGCAGAGGCCTACCTCTCTGTACCGATGCCCAAAGACTCCATTTCTCTCTTTTGCTGTCCCCTGGAAGCTAGAACATGTTCTCATAGTCTGTGGTTAGCCCATTGGATGTTTTCTTCTGGGATAGTGATTCTTAAGCAACTCGCACAAAACACAGGTATTGGGCCCTAATACGCCCAGTAGAAATGGGGACACCAAGAGCACAGCCCAAGCAGCACTGAGCGAGCAGGCCACTGGTGCTGGTGACATCATTCTAGCCACTCTGCTTCTGTGGTCTTGACTCTGCATCTGATGTACAGCCTTCAAGTTCATCTTGCAAGCCAGGTCTTCCAGCCTCCCTGCCTGCCCAATAGCCTTCTAGTAATGACTTGGAACCTGTCTGTCTTGCATGTGATTAAGAACACAGGTTCTTTTCTTCCTGAGTCTCAAGATTCCAGTTGGCTTCAGGTTAAATTTATACCTTCACAGGCAGTCTGGCTCTTCCTAAAGAAGTTGCTAGTTGTCCACTCTTCTGGTCTTTCTTTAAAATAATCTTCTAACCTCTATCAGTATGTTCTACTTCTCTCTTTTCTCTGTATCCCTTTGAATGCCATACAGTCAACACTTTGTATCCATGGGTTCTGCATCTGTAGATTCAACCAACCAAGGATTGAAAATATTCGGTGAAAAAAAATGCATCTGTAGTACATATGTACATACTTTTTTCCTTGTTGAAAAAAAGTTAGGGAAATATATTCCCTAAACAATATAAGTTAACTATTTGCATAACATTTACATTATATTTGATATTATAAGTAATGTAGAAATGATTTAAAGTATACAGGAAGATATGCATAGATTCTATGCAAATACTGCCCCCTTTTATATCAGGGACTTGAGCATCTGAGGATTTTGGTATCCCTGGGGTTCCTGGAACCAATCCCTTATGGATAATGAGGGACGACTACTTCCTGATGAAAGCTCCTCCTTCAGTAACACACTCCTCCCCCCACAGTCCAGCAAGATGCCTGTTCCATTAGCGAGGTGTATCTGCCTTCCACATGTGCTTTTGTCTTATCTATTCCTTTGCTACAAAGAGCTTCTTGAATACCACATGATTTCAGGAAAGTCTGTTTTGTAACAATCGCCAAAGAATTTTTGTGGCAAGCTAGGTGATTCTCTTTTTACAGCAGTGGTGAATTAACAAGAGATATAGTCATTCTGTAACTTCTACATAGGAATCCTGAAAGCAGTCTGAGAAGATTCATTTGAAATACAGTCACACACTGCATAATGATATTTTTGTCGATGATGAACTACATATATCATGGTGACTCTATAAGATTATAATGGAGCTGGAAAATTCCTGTGGCCTAGTGACATGGTCAGTGCAATTACTTTATTTTTAAATAAGTTTGGTGTGGTCTATATGTTCAGTGTTTATAGTCTACAGTAGTGTACAGTAATGTCCTAGGCCTTCACATTCACTCACCACTCACTCACTGACTCACCCAGAGTAACTTCCGGTCCTTCAAGCTCCATTCATAGTAAGTGCCCTAAAAAGGTGGACCATTTTTTTAGTACCATATTTTTACTGTACATTTTCTATCTTAGATATACACAAATACCACTGTGTGACAATCATCTACCGTATTCAGCAAAGTAGCATGTTGTACGGGTTTTTAGCTGGGCAGCCATAGGCTACACCATGTGGCCTAGGTGTGTAATGAGATATACCATCTAGGTTTGTGTAAGTACACTCTAAGATGTTCCCACAAGGACAAAATCATGTAGTGATGCATTTCAAAGAACACATCCCTGTCATTAAGCAGTGCCCGACTTTATGTGTAACCTTTGAAAGAAATAAAAGGTATGAGGATTATCCTCAAAATGAATCACGTTGCTCCTCACTGTTTCCATTTGATCAATGGAAAAAGTATCCTGTTTTTCAGAACAATTGCCCTGAGAATTGTTCCATGTGTGTCCAGGTTTGTTTGTGTCACTCACCGTATAAAGCAGGACATGGATGATGTAATAATACATTTTGTAATAATTTCACTGTTTGTTCTGGGGCAATGAGCACAGGTAATAGGGTTGTCTTTTCCCACAATTCTTGGGGGTGCTATTCATATCCTAGTCTTGGTGAAGGATCCTTCCTGGAGGTTTGCTGGTGCACAGCCAGCTCAGCTCCGGGCAGCAGCCTCATGGAGTAAAAAACATTAAAAAATATATATTAGAAATGAAGGGATGATGATTTCCTGGTCCCTTTGAGTGAAACCCCCAGCAGGTGTGCAGTTAATTCCCCACAGAGGTAACAAGTCTGGGCTGCTTTATAAGCAGCAAAAAATGTCTCATTTATATTCCACTTTCAGAGATAAGGAAAAGGTATTTAAAGGCTATTTAGTCACTCTCTAGCACTCGAAACTTATGGATGGTTCTGTCAAAAGTGAAGATTTAAAAAGTGAATAATAAAACCACTTTTGGAGATAACTGTCAGTAATTTTTTTTCTTTTTTTCTAAGGCGAATATGAAATATGAATTGATATCCATAGACAGAGGAAATATATCAAATAATTTGCCCAGCGGGGGACACATCTCTTGCAGGAAGGACTGATGATTGCAAGGCTAGGTTCACCCACTGGGCTCTTCCCCTCTGGAGCTTCTGTAAGAAGAGTCCATTGTTTCCACAGAAGCATAGAAAAGGATTTGTGATTTTTTTTTTTCCTGTGGGTGTCTCTGGTTAATGACAAACTGCCATCCACAGGGGCAGATGGTCTTTATTTTATGACAGGGCAGAGTCTGTCCTTGGGGTCCTCAAAGCATAACTCGATGAAACCCAACATTCACCTTCCATTTTGCAACCTGAGTTCTGGTGACAGGACTGCTCTGGGCTGAGCATGGTACAGAGTTTAGTGATTAGAAGCTGCTAGAATCATTGAAACAACTAAAGATTAATAATGAATTGCAGGACTGTTACCATGAACTAAGGAGATTCTCACAAATGAGCCTGGGGCTATTTTCTTATCCCTTCATGAGAAAATTCTCCCCAGGCCATCTGGCTGTATCAAAAAGTAAAAGATACACAGCCTTTGGCCAACCAATTCCACACATGGGATTTTTTAAAAAATTAATTTCATTTCAAATAGTAAATATATTCACATGATACAAAATTGAAAATATAAAAGTGCATAATTTAGAAATATCTTTCATACTTTTGTCCTCTAGAGACCCATTTTCTCTCCTGAGAAGCAACTGGTATTTTGTATATTATTCTAGAGACATCTATGGATTAAACAAAAACACAGATATGTTCCTTCTTCCATGTTTAAAATAAAAATTATAGCATTTACATTGTTCTTGGAATTTTTTTAACCAAACATTTAGGGGAAAGAATTTTAGATTCACAGAAAAGTTGCAAAGATAATACAAAGGGTTTCTATATACCCTTGTCCAGTTTCTCCTAATATGAACATCTTACATTTCTGTAGTGCATTTGTCAAAACTAAGAAATTTAAACCAGTACATTACTATTAATGAAACTACAGACTTTATTTGGATGTCAGTCATTTTTTTTTTTTCTCACTAATGTTCATTTTCTGTTTCTGGCTCCAATCTAGAATACCACATTGCATTGCAAGATGAATAACTTCCTTCCCTCCCTTCTTCCCTCCCTCCCTTCCTCCCTTCCTCCCTCCCTTCCTCCCTCCCTCCCTTCCTCCCTCCCTCCCTTCCTCCCTCCCTCCCTTCCTCCCTCCTTCCCTCCCTCTCTCCCTCCCTTCCTCCCTTCCTTTCTTCCTTCTTTCCTTCCCTTAATTGTTGTGTGCGTATTGGGGGGATGTATGGTTTTATGATTTTTTACATGGATGGATTTATGAAGTTACCACCATGATCAGCATACAGAAAAGTTTCATCTCCCTGAACATCTCCCTCCATTCCCCATGGCAATCACTGATTTGTTCTCCCTCACTATAGTTTTGTCTTTTTGAGAATGTCATAAAAATGGAATCATGCAGTGTGTAACCTTTGGAGACTGGCTTATTTTTTTCAGCATACGGCCATTGAGTTGTTGTGTGTATCAATGCCTATCAATCCCTTTTTTCTTTAAACTGAGCAGTATTCGCTGTGGATATTCCACTGTTTATTTATATACCCGTTGAAGAACATTTTGTTTGTTTTATTTTACTTACTATATCTTGAAACTCTTAAAAATTTATTTTAAGCATAAAGAGTTCCATTGAAACATTATTATTGCTCTTATTTTAAATTCAGAACTAATATGTGACTGGTAGAAACAAAAATGAAAGCAAAAAAAACAGTGTAAAAGAAAAGAAACAAAATGTGGGTTCTCTCCTCTGACCTTCAAATACACATGAAGGCAGTAAGAAGCTCTTGACCATTTTCTTTGCCTCATTGCAGACTAGGCTGATTTCTTACATTCCTTTTTGAAAACTCTTTTAAATATCAATCATGTACTTTAAATGTGTATCATATATTTTTAAAAGTATATCTGATGTGTGTTTATTGTTTGGAGGATAATGATAAAATGATCATGCTGGTATCTAACATGCAATTTGAGAAAGGGCATCCCGCAAACATCAGTAGTCTGCTGTGCCCTTCTCCAATTTGTAATCCTCCCTTTCTCACATTAGCAACATTTTATCTTTTTTAAAAAATAACTCCCTTGGTTTCCTTTATAGTTTTGCTACATATGTGTGTATCCCTAAGCCATACATTATTTAGTTTTGCCTATTTTTGACCTTTATGGCATCATGCAGTATATGTTCTATTTGTTTTCTTTAATGTTAAATTTAAGCTTTTGATAAACAAATTAAATGAAAAATAAATGTTTGTTGATGTTGATGTATAGACCTATTTTATTTATTTCCACTGCTAGATGATATTTAATGGTACAAACACATCTATATTTATATATCTGCTTTATTGTTGAAAAACATATGTGCAGTTTAAAACATTTGGGGGAGGATTATAAACAATGCTGCCAAGAATATTGTGTATGGCTTACAAGTGGGACTGTTGTATAGACAGCAATGTGTATTTTCCCCCTTATTCGGTAACGTGAATTCTATCTAAAGTAGTTGGCCAGAGTTATATTCTGGCCGGTGGTGTATGGAGATTCTACCATTCTATGTCTTTGCCAATACTTGGTGTTATCATTGTATTTTATTTTTGCCAATCTGACGGGTATGGAATGGAATCTAATTTTGGCTTTACTTTGCATTTTCCTGACTACTGATGAGTTGGAGGATATCAAGTTTGAGTATTTTGGCAATTCTTGGTTCATCTTTTGTGAAATGCTTGTACAAGAAATGCCTGTTATATCTTTTGTTCTTTGAAATAAATTTTTTAATTTTTTCATTATTGTCTTAAAATAATTTTTAAAAAATTCTGAATACTTATTCTTTGTGGGTTATAAATATTTTATATATCATCTCCCAGTTTTGTGGCTCAAAGTTTTGTCTTTCTATAGAGTCTTTGATGAAGTGGAGTTTATTGCTGGTGAATTTATCTTGTCCATTGTGGTGTGTGCTTTTAGCACCTTGGTTAGAAATTTTTTACTACCAAATAATTATGAAGGTATTTTTGTTGATTTTTTTCTAAAAGTTACAAAGTTAGATTTTCCATTTAAGTGTTTCATCTATCTGGAATTATTTTAAAAAACAGTTGGAGTAGTGGTTAGGAGCAAGGATTTTAACCTCAGACCATCTGAGTTTTGAACTCCACCTTTTATCAGTTACTTGGTAAATTTCCCCTGTGGATATTTCAACTTTTTTAACTTGGATTCAACCTCTCTGTGTCTCAGTTTTATCATCTCTAAGGATAATGTAAAAAGAAAGTCTCTATAATTTTGCAGTTTCGAGTTAAAAATAAGTTAGGCTGGGAGCGGTGGCTCATGCCTGTAATCCCAACACTTTGGGAGGCCGAGGCAGGCCGATCACGAGGTCAAGAGATCGAAACCATCCTGGCTAACACGGTGAAACCCCGTCTCTACTAAAAATACAAAAAATTAGCCGGGTGAGGTGGCGCATGCCTGTAGTCCCAGCTACTCAGGAGGCTGAGGCAGCAGAATGGCGTGAACCCGGGAGGCGGAGCTTGCAGAGAGCCGAGATCGCGCCACCGCACTCCAGCCTGGGTGACAAAGCGAGACTCCATCTCAAAAAAAAAAAAAGGGTAATATGTGAAGTACTAGAATTCTAACTAAAACCATAATTATGCATGCTATAAAGTAGGGGCCCAATTTTCTTCACATGGATAATTTGTCTCAGCATTGTTTATCAAATAATTGATTTTTCCTATTTTCAATTTCACTGCATCATAAATCAGATTCTCTCTCTCTCTCTGTGTGTGTGTGTGTGTGTGTGTGTGTGTGTGTGTGTGTGTGTGTTTTGAGGCTGTTATTTTCCATTGGCCTATTTTTATATTCCTGTACACATAATGTGTTTTTTTGACAATAGTTTTATAAAAAGTCTTGATTACTGATAGCAAAATTTTCTCCACTTTACTCTTCTTTTAGGGAGGGTTATCTTGCTAATCTTGACTCTGTGCTCCTTGATATACATTTGAGATTACTAAGATTCCTGAAAAAGAAACATATTGGGCTATCTATTGGAATTGCATTGAATTCAATTCGGGAGAACCAACATTTTTATTGTATTGAGGCTGTATAACCACGAACTTAGCCTAAGTATTTTAAATGTCCTTTAATAAAGCTTTGTAATTTTCCTCAAAGAGGTCTTGCACACACATCCTACATTAGATTTATTCTTAATTACCTATTCAATCTTGCTCTGATAAATGCTGCTTTATTTAAAATTGAATTTTCTGATTCTCTTTTGCCTTTGAAAAAATGCAGCAGACTTTATATTAAGCAATCTGTCTAATCTCTTATACATTGTAGTAATTTGAACTTAAATATTTTCATTGGAGGTTTCCCTACATGAGTAATCATATGCAATAATGACAGTTTCGTTTCTAACTTTTCAATCTCTGTATGTTTTGTTGCTTTTTGTCTTATCACATTATTTAAGACTTTCAGTATTATTTGGAATAGAAGGCATAATAGCAGCTTTTTATTTTATATGATTGTAAAAGGAGTGCTTTTAATGTTTAATCATTGGCTCAGATATTTGCTATAGATTTATGATGGATCCCCTTTTATTCCTAGTTTGTTAAGAGATTTGTTAGAAGTGGTTGTCAAATTTTACCAATGGCTCTTCCACAGCTAATAAGAGGATAACGAATTTTTAATCTCTTAAACTTTTCTGAAAGATTTCAAATAATATTGAAATTTTTTTGTCTCTTGAATATTTAAAAGAACACTTTCTAATATTATCTAGCCTATCACATAAAATCCATGATGATTTGACTTATTTAAAGACTATAATATTATTTTCCTTTAAAATATTTCTTAGGTGATGTTGATAAATCATATAATTCAAGGGATTTGTCCATTTATGTAAGTAGTAAACTTCATTGGCATGGAGTTGTAAAAAGTGTTTTATCTTACTAATTTCTACTATATCTATAAATCTAATTTTAAAATTTTTATTTATGAATCCCATTTCTTATTAATCACTTCTGGAGGGGTTTCTGTATTTTATTAACCTTCTCAAAGAAACAACTTGGACATTGTTAATCCCCTATATTGTATGTGTGTTTTCTTTTTATTAATATCTTCTCTCATCTTATTTGCTTTTGCCTACCTTTTTGTGTTTTGTTTTTATTTTTGCTTTCTTAATTTGTGTTGTCTAAATCATTAATTATCAAGCTTTATTTAAATATAATCTGCTCAAGCCATACATTTTCCTTTAAATATTGCATTAGCTCTGTCCCGCATTTGTCATATCCATCATGCAACAATGGCCAAGCGGCATGTATGCCAGGTTGCAGGAACTGTATGCAAAAAGTCATGACGACAGAGTAGGGTCAGGTGTGTAGGTCCTTCATTATTCTATTCCCTGTCTAGGGCTGCTTAGTCTAGAAAGGTCAGATGTCATACTTGGAGAGGGGAAACTCAACTCTTGAATATGCAAACTAGAACAGCATTGACTCTTTCCCTGGTTATATCAGGGGCTGAGATATAACTGCAACAATATGCAGCAAGACCCTGCATATTATTGCAATTGTGTCTGGTTTGACAGTTCCATGTTCCTGGTTGGGTAAGCACTAGCTCTTCCTTGGACACAATCAAGGACCCTGGCTTACTCAATGTGGTTTCCTTGAGCTTTGCTAGAGACCAGCCTCTGTTCTGAGACACCATACTGCAGGGGATCAACACTCTTCTGATTAATCCCTACCACTCTATATTGCTTTCAATATGATTCAGCTCTAAGTATTTTTTTTCTAATCTCTTTTGTGATTTATTTTTTATTTCAAAGTATGTTTTCTCAACTTTTTATTATGGAAATCTCCAAATGTACAGACAATTTAGAAAAATAAAAAGTAGAATGAATTCCCACATGCCCTACTCCTAGATTAACAATTGTAAACATTTTGTTATATGTGCTTTACATTTCTCTTTCTATTCATACCTGTTGATCACAAGGTGGCTAAACCTTGTAAAAGTATGTTGAAGACATCATGGCACCTCACCCCTAAAAACTTAACCATTTATCTCCTAAATTGACATTCTTTACATAGTTTGCAACCATACTGTTAATACGTTTACATAAAATTATTGCAATTCTATAGTACAAGCTGACTTAGTCTTCATTCAAATTTCCAATTATTCCCAAAATACGTTTTACATATTTGGGTTTTCTGAGCCAGAATCCCATCAAAGTTCACACGTTGCATTTGCTTCTAATGTCTCTTTAAACTCTTATTCTGGAACATGTATCTTACCTTTTCATTCATAATGTGGACTTTTTGTGCCTATGACACATCAGAGTGGAGATGTAACATATAAGCTGCTGCCAAATTAGCCTTCGAACAATGGCAACCTGTGGGGCATTCACATAACACGGAGCAGGAGTGGACATTTTGTATGGATTTGTCAGGACAAGGTCTCTGTCTAGTCTAAAGGTAGAGAGAGGCCACATCTCTGCCTAGGGGTAGCTGTGAGGAACAGGCTGTTAGAGAGTGAAA
The DNA here is from genome assembly GCF_000001405.40 of Homo sapiens. Taxonomy (NCBI): domain Eukaryota; kingdom Metazoa; phylum Chordata; class Mammalia; order Primates; family Hominidae; genus Homo; species Homo sapiens. Next base: position 93,727,870 of record NC_000015.10, read on the forward strand.
ACTGAAATGGAAGATGAGGATGAGCAGAGAATGACAGGAAGAAAGCAGCCTTGGGAAAAACTGGGCAGAGGGGCAGAAAATGCAAGTGAGTCGTGTGGAGACTACCAACAAACAGAAAACCAAAATGAAGCCCACTGCAGGAGTCAGCCTCTGAGTCCCCTGGGTGTGGGCAGTCTGAGCACAGGCGCTGGGACACCCTTGCAGGCACTGTGTCCTTCATTCCTGGTATGTGCTAAGTGCTAAATCTTTAGCACAAGATTTTCCATTGCTGAATTACTTCTTTTTCTTTCTTTCTTTTTTTTTTTTTTTATTATACTTTAAGTTCTAGGGTACATGTACACAACATGCAGGTTTGATACATAGGTATACATGTGCCATGTTGGTTTGCTTCACCCATCAATTCATCATTTACATTAGGTATTTCTCCTAATGCTATCCTCCCCCTGACAGGCCCCAGTGTGTGATGTCCCCCACCCTGTGTCTAAGTGATCTCATTGTTCAATTCCCACCTATGAGTGAGAACATGTGACGTTTGGTTTTCTGTCCTTGTGATAGGTTGCTGAGAATGATGGTTTCCAGCTTCATCCATGTCCCTACAAAGGATGTGAACCCATCCTTTTTTATGGCTGCATAGTATTCCATGGTGTATATGTGCCACATTTTCTTAATCCAGCCTATCATCGATGGACATTTGGGTTGGTTCCAAGTCTTTGCTATTGTGAATAGTGCCGCAGTAAACATACGTGTACATGTGTCTTTATAGTAGCATGATTGATAATCCTTTGGGTATATACCCAGTAATGGGATTGCTGGGTCAAATGGTAATTCTAGTTCTAGATCCCTGAGGAATTGCCACACTGTCTTCCACAATGGTTGAATTAATTTACACTCCCACCAACAGTGTAAAAGCGTTCCTATTTCTCCATATCCTCTCCAGCATCTGTTGTTTCCTGACTTTCTAATGATTGCCATTCTAATTGGCGTGAGAGTTTCTTTTGCCATGAAGAAGCTCTTTAGTTTAATTAGATCCCATTTGTCAATTTTGGCTTTTGTTACCATTGCTTTTGGTGTTTTAGTCATGAAGTCTTTGCCCATGCCTATGTCCTGAATAGTATTGCCTAGGTTTTCTTCTAGGGCTTTTATGGCTTTAGATCTAACATTTAAGTCTTTAATTTATCTTGAATTAATTTTTGTATAAGGTGTAAGGAAGTGATCCAGTTTCAGCTTTCTACATATAGTTAGCCAGTTTTCCCAGCACCATTTATTAAATAGGGAATCCTTTCCCCATTGCTTGTTTTTGTCAGGTTTGTCAAACATCAGATGATTGTAGATGTGTGATGTTATTTCTGAGAGCTCTGTTCTGTTCCATTGGTCTGTATATCTGGTTTTGGTACCAGTACCATGCAGTTTTGGTTACTGTAGCCTTGTAGTATAGTTTGAAGTCAGGTAGCATGATGCCTCCAGCTTTGTTCTTTTGGTTTAGGATTGTCTTGGCAATGCAGGCTCTTTTTTTGGTTCCATTTGAACTTTAAAGTAGTTTTTTCCAATTCTGTGAAGAAAGTCATTGGTAGCTTGATGGGGATGGCATTGAATCTATAAATTACTTTGGACAGTATGGCCATTTTCACAATATTGATTCTTTCTATCCATGAGCATGGAATATCCTTCCATTTGTTTGTGTCCTCTTTTATTTCGTTGAGCAGCGGTTTATAGTTCTCCTTGAAGAGGTCCTTCATATCCCTTGTAAGTTGGATTCCTAGGTATTTTATTCTGTTTGTAGCAATTGTGAATGGGAGTTCACTCACGATTTGGCTCTCTGTTTGTCTGTTATTGGTGTATAGGAATGCTTGTGATTTTTGCACATTGATGTTGTATCCTGAGACTGCTGAAGTTGCTTATCAGCTTAAGGAGATTTTTGGCTGAGATGATGGGGTTTTCTAAATATACAATCATGTCATCTGTAAACAGGGACAATTTGACTTCCTCATTTCCTAATTGAATACCCTTTATTTCTTTCTCTTGCCTGATTGCTCTAACCAGAACTTCCAACACTATGTTGAATAGGAGTGGTGAGAGAGGGCATCCTGTCTTGTGCCAGTTTTCAAAGGGAATGCTTCCAGTTTTTGCCCATTCCATATGTTATTGGCTGTGGGTTTGTCATAAATAGCTCTTATTATTTTGAGATGTGTTCCATCAATACCTAGTTTATTGAGAGTTTTTAGCATGAAGCGCTGTTGAATTTTGTCAAAGGCCTTTTCTGCATCTATTGAGATAATCGTGGTTTTTGTCGTTGGTTCTGTTTATGTGATGGATTATGTTTATTGATTTGCATATGTTGAACCAGCCTTGCATCCCAGGGATGAAGCTGACTTGATCATGGTGGATAAGCTTTTTGATGTGCTACTGGATTCGGTTTGCCAGTATTTTATTGAGAACTTTTGCATTGACGTTCATCAGGTATGTTGGCCTAAAATCCTCTTTTTTTTTTTTTTTTTTTGTTGTGTCTCTGCCGGGCTTTGGTATCAGGATGATGTTGGCCTCATAAAATGAGCTAGGGAGGATTCCCTCTTTTTCTATTCATTGGAATAATTTCAGAATGAATGGTCCCAGCTCCTCTTTGTACCTCTGGTGGAATTTGGCTGTGAATCCTTCTGGTCCTGGACTTTTTTGGTTGGTAAGCTACTAATTATTGCTTCGATTTCAGAGCCTGTTATTGCTCTATTCAGAGATTCAACTTCTTCCTTGTTTAGTCTTGGGAGGGTGTATGTGTCCCAGAATTTATACATTTCTTTTAGATTTTCTAGTTTATTTGTGTAGAGGTATTTATAGTATTCTCTGATGCTAGTTTGTATTTCTGTGGGATCAGTGGTGATATCCCCTTTATCGTTTTTTATTGCATTTTTTTATTGCGTTTTTATTTGTTCAGCTATGCCCTGCCCACAGAGGGGGAGTCTAGAGTGGCAGTAGGCCTTACTGAGCTGTGGTGGGCTCCGCCCAGTTCAAGCTTCTCAGCCGCTTTGTTTACCTACTCAAGCCTCAGCAATGGCGGACGCCCCTCCCCCTGCCAGCCTGCAGCCTCACAGGTTGATCTCCAACTGCTACGCTAGCAGTGAGCAAGACTCCATGGGTGTGGGACCCACTGAGCCAGGCACGGGAGGGAATCCCTTGGTCTGCCGTTTGCTAAGACTGTGGGAAAAGCACAGTATTTGGGCGGCAGTGTACTGTTCCTCCAGGTATAGTCTGTCACGGCTTCCCTTGTCTAGGAAAGGGAAATCCCCCGACTCCTTGCACTTCCCGGTTGAGGTGATGCCCTGCCCTGCTTTGGCTCACCCTCTGTGGGCTGCACCCATCGTCCAACCAGTCCCAATGAGATGAACCAGGTACCTCTGTTGGAAATGCAGAAATCACCTGTCTTCTGCGTCGATCTCTCTGGGAGCTGCAGATTGGAGCTGTTCCTATTTGGCCATCTTGGAAGCAACCTCCTTTCTTCTTTGATTGTTACAGAATAATTATTATCTACCTTTGAAGGTCATGTTTCCTTGCTTTTTCACATTTCTTATGTCCCTTTTTTTTTTTATATTCGCACCTGTGGTGGAACACTCACCCTTTCCAATTGCATGGAATAGCCTTCATAAGGAAACACTTTTTTTTCCTATAGATATGTCCTACAGTGTTGCTTGGGTAGGGTGCTTTGGCTTTGGTTGAGGGTGGGCACAGTAATGTAGTCTTCATATGATTTTTTCTGCTGTAATTAATGTCAGTGGTGTCTGTGAGTGCCTTCTGTCACAGGCTGTTGTTCGTGAAAGCTATGGCATAGCTCTGCTGGTGGCAGTGATGTCAGGCAGGCTGGTTCTCAAGGCATTAGAAGGCATGCATGAGTTCAGGGCAGCTCAGCTCTGATGGGACATAGGGTTGCTAGTAGCAGCAGCAGGCCTTAGCTAGGCAGATCTCAGGTTCTGGGGACTGAGTATGTCATCTCCTTCAGTCCTGGGGGTAGCCTGCTTGCTGTGTGCTGGACCTCCTTTGACCTGGGGCATAGGGCACTGCATGGGCTTCAATTCCAGGATCACTGCTTTACTGCTGGGTCCAACAGGTGTCATGACACTGTAGCCCTTTGGGTAGATGTCATGAGATGTTGGTACCACCCCAGGGATGCTTTTGGACTACAGGTTAGGATGCACTCTGGTCGTGGGCTTACTCTGAAAATGGTGAGGTTCTGTTACTGCCTGTGTCTTTGGAGGTCAGGGGGATGCAGTGTGAATTATTTCCCAGGAATAATGAAGTAACCTGGACTCCAGGCAGCTCCCAAGACTGGACTGTCTTCCAAGGGCTATGGATCTCTCCTATAGCCAGGATCACAAGTATTCATGGTGGAAATGTGGAATCCTGGGGATCTTCTGCTTACTTTTTTCCCACAGTGGGAAGTCCCTCCTGGCTCTAAGTCAATTCTGGCTTTCTCTTCCTTCTCTATGCTGCCATTGCAAGTCTTCATGTCTCAGAGAGTCTTCATTACTTCTTTACTGAATTTTATTCTTTTCACTTAGTCCATTTGATGTGTGTTTATCTACTTACTGTTTTGATATTTCTTTGTGAAGGAGGAAAATGCTGGGTCCATCTATTTAGCCATCATAGCTGCTTTTATCTCTGGTCCTCCTTTTGGCCACAAGACTATTTTATTTGATGCTAATATAACCATCCCAACTTCCATTTGTTTACTATTTTCTTGGTGCACTTTTTCAAGCTTTAATATCAAACTTTGTATTTCCTTATTGTCAATATGTCTATTTTCAAAACAATGTAGTTATATTTCTTGTCAATTTATTTTTTATAATTTTTTTCTTTAGACAGGGCATCATTCTGTTGCATAGGCTGAAGTGCAGTGGCACAACTGTGGCTCACTGCAGCCTTGACTTTCTAGGCTCAAGTGATTCTCCCATCTCAGCCTCCTGAGTAATTGGGACTACATACATATGCCATCATGCTGAGCTAATTTTTTAAATTTTTTGTGGAGATGGGGTCTCACTATGTTGCTGGGCCTGGTCTTAAACACCTGGGATCCTCCCACCTTGGTCTCCAAAATTGCTGAGATTACAGGTGTGAGCCACTGTGCCTGGCCCATAATTCTTAATTATAATAGGATATTTAGTCCATTTGTGTTGATTGTGATTATGTTTGAATTCTTTTATGCTATATCAATCTTCTAGTTGTCTTTTAAAAATTTCTTTTCTTGAGTTCTTTTAGATTAGTTTTTCTTCCTCCTTTTGTCATTGTTTTTCTTTACTGGTTGACCGTTTCAGGCTCTATTTCTATTCTTTTATTTATTACTCTAGGAATGTTAACGTAAATATTTAACTTCACAAAGTCTAAAATTTAACAGTATTATGTTCTTCTTCCAAACAAGAAAATAATCTTACAAGGCTATAATTCCAAATACCTACCCTTATTGCTATTATTTTTCAAAATGTTTGTCCTATCATGTTTTTTTAACTGCAAATTATATGAGATTATTGTTACACTATAACTTTTTGTTGACATTTACCTACACATTTAGCATAAAACATAAGTCTCAATCAATTTTAAAAGATTAAAATTGTACAAACTATGTTCACATTTTTTATCATACCTTGCTGAGATTCAAGCTTTTCTATAAGAATCGTTTTCCTTTTATGTAAAAGTCAGTCCTCTACAACTCCCTTTAGTAGACATCTGTTGATAGAAAAACTGTCTCATTTGTTTGTTTTTGGCCAAAAAAAAGTCACTCCCTCACTCTTAAACGATAGCTTTTATGGGAATAAAATTTCAGACTGATAGGCATTTTGAAATTATTTCATTTCTCAGCTGCATCCACCTAGAACTTGGCTGCAGCAGCAGGAAGCTGGGGTAGAATGAGAAACGCTGATATCCTGCCTCTCTTGGGAAAATAGCTCTGTGAGATCTGGAGTTTGAGGGAGCTCTCTGTTCTTGGGTACACCTGTATGAAGTAGGGTTTACATCTTACTGAATTGGAAGGGGTTAGGGAGCGAGTGGGTCTCTCATCAAATATCACAGATTCTTGCTGTTCTTACTGAATTTTAGTCAATTTTCTTGAAAGCTTTTTTCATATTCTATATGTGTTAGGACCAATTTGAGAGATTTGAAAATATTTTAAAATAATAATTTTCACCAGATTTACTAGGGAGTGGGTCTTTAGAACACCTCACACTGAGAGGCTGTACAGTTGAGCCCCATCATGCATTTCCAATTTAATTTCATTGTGAAAGAAGAATGTATGTTGAACAGTTTTAATCTTAAAATTTACTGAGAATTATTTTATGTCCCAGATTATGGGCTATCCTGAAGGATGTTCTCAATACACTTGAGGATAATACATAGTCCGGTGATTTTGGTATAGTATTTTAATATACTTGTATTATGTCTAGTTGGTTTATAGGGTTTTCTTAGTCTTCCATTTCCTTAATTTTCTGTGTAGTCGCTCAATACATATTGAATGTCAGGTATTTAAGTATCTATTATTGTTGAATTTTCAATTTTTTTCAACTCAGTTTTTACTTTATGTATTTTGGGGCCTCTTTTATATGCATATACACATATAAGTGTTATATCTTCTAGGTTGATTTGCTTTATAAATTATAAATATTCTTTTCTCAAATGACCTTTGTAAATATTTTAAAGTGTATTTTTTTTCTCCCATTTCTATCGCTGCATTTTTATAGAGGTTGTTATATGTTGTGGGAAGTCAGGGACCCCAAATGGAGGGACCAGCTGATGCCATGACAGAAGAACATAAATTGTGAAGATTTCATGGACATTTATTAGTTCCCCAAATTAATACTTTTATAATTTCTTACACCTGTCTTTACTGCAGTCTCTGAACATAAGTTGTGAAGATTTCATGGACACTTATCACTTCCCTAATCAATACCTTTGTGATTTCCTATGCCTGTCTTTACTTTAATCTCTTAATCACATCATCTTCATAAGCTGAGGAGGATGTACGTCACCTCAGGACCCTGTGATGATTGCGTTAACTGCACAAATTGTTTATAGAGCATGTGTGTTTGAACAATATGAAATCTGGGCACCTTGAAAAAAGAACAGGATAACAGCAATGTTCAGGGAACAAGGGAGATAACCTTAAACTCTGATGGCTGGTGAGCCAGGCGGAACAGAGCCATATTTCTCTTCTTTCAAAAGCAAATAGGAGAAATATCGCTGAATTCTTTTTCTCAGCAAGGAACATTCCTGAGGAAGAGAATGCGTCCCTGAGGGGAGGCCTCTAAAATGGCCGCTTTGGGGGCGGCTGTCTTTTACGGTTGTAGCTGTAGGATGAAATAAGCCCTGATCTCCTGTAGCACTCCCAGGCTTATTAGGACGAGGAAATTCCTGCCTAATAAATTTTGGTCAGACTGGTTGTCTGCTCTCAAACTCTGTCTCCTGATAAGATGTTATCAATGACAATGTGTGCCCGAAACTTCATTAGCAATTTTAATTTTGCCCCAGTCCTGTGGTCCTGTGATCTCGCCCTGCCTCCATTTGCCTTGTGATATCTTATTACCTTGTGAAGCATGTGACCTCTGTGACCCACACCCTATTCGTACACTCCCTCCCCTTTTGAAAATCACTAATAAAAACTTGCTGGTTTTACGGCTCAGGGGGCATCGCAGAAACTGCCGACATGTGATGTCTCCCCCGGACACCCAGCTTTAAAATTTCTGTCTTTTGTACTCTATTCCTTTATTTCTCAGACAGGCTGACACTTAGGGAAAATAGAAAAGAACCTACATGAAATATCGGGGGTGAATTTCACGTGATAGTTGTATTTATCTTATTATGTTTCATGATTCTCTTATTTCTTCTTGTGAATCTCAGTTACCATAAGGTATAATTTTCTTAGGGTCAAACATATTTGTTCTCATCTATCTTCTTAGCACTTTTATACAAATATATACATATTGTTTAAGGTAACTATTAATACTTATTAAATCAGGTCAGAAAAAGAATAAATATGCAATCATAGTGTCTTTTACAATTACCTACACAGACACTTTAGCTGATGTACTTTCTTTCTTTATATTGATTCAGATTTCTCTCTGGTGTCACTTGCTTTCAGCATGAAGAGGTTGTTTTAGTATTTCTTGTAAGATTGGTATGCTACTGATGCATTTTAAATTCAGGGGTACAAGTGCAAGTTTGTTATATAGGTAAACTTGTGTCATGGGGGTTCGTTGTACAGATTATTTCATCACCTAGATATTAAACCTAGTACCCATTAGTTATGTTTTCCTGATCCTCTTCCTCTTCCTAGCCTCCACCCACCAACAGGCCCCATTGTGTGTTGTCCCCCTCTATGTGTCCATGTGTTCTCATCGTTTATTTCCCACTTATAACAGAACATGAGGTATTTGGTTTTCTGTTACTGTGTTAGTTTGCTAAGGATAATGGCCTCCACCTTCATCCATGTCCCTGCAAAGGATATGATCTCATTCTTTTGTATGGCTACCTAGTGTTCCGTGGTATATAAGTACCACATTTTCTTTATCCAGTCTATCACTGATGGGCATTTAGTTTGATTCCATATCTTTGCTATTGTGAATACTGTTGCAATGATTATACACATACATGTGTCTTTTATAATAGAATTATGTATATTCCTTTGAGTGTTCCCAGTAATGGGATTGCTGGGTTGAATGGTCTTTCTGTCTTTAGGTCTTTGAGGAATCACTACACTGTCTTCCTTAATAGTTGAACTAACTTACATGCCCATCAACAGTGTAGGAGCATTCTTTTTTATCCTCAACCTTGCCAGCATCTGTTATTTTTTGACTTTTTAATAGTAGCCCTTCTGACTGGTATGAGATGGTATCTCCTTGTGGTTTTGATTTGTGTTTCTCTAATGATCGGTGATGTTGAGCTTCTTTTCATGTGATTGTTGGCTGCATGTATTTTTTGAAACGTGTCTGTTCATGTCTTTTTGCCTATGAGTTAATGGCGTTGTTTTGGGCATCGATGATATTGATCTGAAGTTTCCTTTTTTTCTTGTGTATCTGCCAGGTTTTGGTGTCAGGATGATGTTCACCTCATAGAATGAGTTAGGGAGGGGTCCCTCCTCCTCAATCTTCTGGAATATTTTCAGTAGGAATGGTACTGGCTCTTCTTTGTGCATCTGGTAGAATTCAGGAATTCAGCTGTGACTCCATTTGGTCCTGGGTTGTATTTTTTTTTTTTTTTTTTGGTTGGTAAGGTATTGATTACTTTTTCAATTTCAGAGCTCATTAATGGTTTCTTCAGGGATTCAGTTTCTTCCCGGTTAAGTCTTGGGATGGTGTATATGTCCAGGAATTTATCCATTTCTTCTAGATTTTCTGGTTTATGTGCACAGAGGGTTCATAATTTTCTCTGATGGTTACTTGTATTTCTGTGGGGTAAGTGGTAATATTCCCCTAGTCATTTCTGATTGTGTTTATTTGAATCTTTTCTCTTTTTATTAGTCTAGCTAGTGGTCTATTTTTTTTCAAAAAAAAAAAACAAACAAACAGCTCCTGGGTTCAATGATCTTTTGAATGGTTTTTCATGTCTCTATCTCCTTCAGTTCAGCTCTGATTTTGGTTATTTCTTGTCTTCTGTTGGCTTTGGGATTTGTTTGCTCTTGGTTCTCTAGTTCTTTTAGTTGTGATATTAGGTAGTTAACTTGAGATTTTTCTAACTTTTTGATGTGGGGATTTAGTGCTATACATTTCTCTTTTATCACTGCCTTAGCTGTGTCCCAGAGATTCTGGTATGTTGTATCTTTGTTCTCATTAGTTTCAAAACACTTCTTGATTTCTGCCTTGTTTACCCAAAAGTAATTCAGGAGCACATTATTTAATTTCCATGTAATTATATGGTTTTGAATGAATTTCTTAGTCTTGATTTCTAATTTGATTGCCCTGTGGTCTGTTATGATTTCAATTCTTTTGCATTTGCTGAGGAGTGTTTGACATCAGATTATGTGATTGATTTCAGAGTATGTGCCATGTGCAATCAGAATAATATATTTTCAATTGTTTTGGGATAGAGAGTTCTGAAAATATCTATCAGGTCAATTTGATTCAGTGCTGAATTCAGGTCCTGAATATCCTTGTTAACTTTGTGTCTTGGTGATCTGTCTAATATTGTCAGTTGGGTGTTAAAGTCTCCCACTATTATTGTGAGGAAGTCTAAATCTCTTTGAAGTCTCTAAGAACTTGCTTTGTGAATCCGGGTGCTCTTCTATTGGGTGCATATATATTTAAGATAGATAGTTATATTTCTGGTTGAATTGAACCTTTTACCATTATGTAATGCCCTTCTTTGTCTTTTTTTAATCTTTGTTGGTTTAAAGTCTGTTTTGGCAGAAACTAGAATTTTAACCCCTGCTTTTTTCTGTTTTCCATTTGCTTGGTAGATTTTTCTCCATCCCTTTATTTTCAGCCTGTGTTTTGTTGCCTCTGAGATGGGTCTCTTGAAGACAGCATACCAATAGGTTGGTTCTTTACTCAGCTTATCACTCTGTGTCTTTTAATTGTGATATTAACCCATTTTCATTTAAGATTAGTATTTATATGTGTGGATTTGATCCTGTCATCATGATGTTAGCTGGTTATTTTGCATACTTGTTTATGTGGTTGCTTTATAGTATCACTGGGTTGTGTAGTTCAGTGTGTTTTCTTAGTGGCTGATAATAGTCTTTTCTTTCCATATTTAGTGCTTCCTTAAGGAGTTCTTGTAAGGCAGGTCTGGTGGTAACAAATTTCTTCAGCATTCACTTATGAAGCTTAGTTAGGCTGGATCTGGAATTCTGGGTTGGAATTTCTTTTTTAAGAATGTTGACTATTGTCCCCCAATCTCTTCTAGCTTGTAGGGTTTCAGCTGAGAGGCCCATTGTCAGTCTGATGGGCTTCACTTTGTAAGCAACCTGGCCTTTCTCTCTATTTGCCTTTGATATTTTTTCTTTCATTTCGTCTTTGGATAATTTATCGTGGAGTATCTTACTGGGATTCCCTGCATCTCCTGAATTTAAATGTTGGCATCTCTAGGTAGGTTGGGGAAGTTCTCATGGATGATATCCTGAAATATGTTTTCTAAGTTGGTTCCATTCTCCCCATCTCTTTCAGGTATACCAGTTAGTCGTAGATTTAGTCTCTTGACATAATCCCATATTTCTCAGAAGTTTTATTCATTCATTTTCATTATTTTTTCTCTCTTCTCTGCCTTCTTATTTCAGAAAGCCAGTCTTCAAGCTCTAAGATTATTTCCTCTGCCAGGTCTATTTTGTTATGAATACTTGTGATTATATTATGAAATTCTTGTAGTGTGTTTTTCAGCTCTATCAGGTTATGTTCTTCTTCTTACTGGCCATTTTGTCAGCTCCTGCAATGTTTTGTCATGACTTTTATCTTCCCTGCATTGGTTACAATGTGCTCCTGTAACTCAGTGAACTATGTTTCTATCTATATTCTGAATTCTACTTCTGTCAGTTTAGCCATCTCAGCCTCAAGCTGGTTCTGAACCCTTGCTAGAGAGTTGATGTGGTCATTTTGAGGAAAGAAGGTAGTCTGGTTTTTTTTCAGCAGTCTTGTGCTGATTCTTTCTCATCTTTGTGGGCTTACTTGCCTTCAATCTTTGAGGTTGCTGACTTTTGGATTTTTTTTTCTTTTAACAATCTGGCCACTTTTCCATAGGGCTGCTGTATTAGTCTGTTTTCATGCTGCTGATAAAGACATATCTGAGACTGGGAAGAAAAAAAGGGTTCAGTTGGATTTACAGTTCCACATGGCTGGGGAGGCATCAGAATCATGGCATGAGGTGAAAGGCACTTCTTACACGGTGGTGGCAAGAGAAAATAAGGAAGAAGCAAAAGTGGAAACCCCTGATAAACCCATCAGATCTCATGAGACTTACTTTCATGAGAATAGCCTGGGAAAGAGTGGCCCCCATGATTCAATTCCTCCTCCTGGGTCCCTCCCACAACACGTGGGAATTCTGGGAGATAAAATTCAAGTTGAGATTTGTGTGGGTACACAGCCAAACCACATCAGCTGCTATGGTATGCTGGAGATCTGCTCCAGACCCTAGTCACCTTGGATTTTCCAGTACCTGGAGGTATCACCAGTGAAGCCTGCAAAACAGCAAAGATGGCAGCCTGTCCTTCCCTATGGGAGCTCCATCCCAGGGAGGTATGGGCCTGTTGCTTGTCCAAATGCACTTTAGCTAGGAGATAGCTGAAGACCTGGTTGGGAAGTCTTGCCTAGCTAGGAGAAACAAGATCAGAGACTTGCTTTAAAAGGTAGTCTGGCTGGGTGCAGTGGCTCATGCCTGTAATCCCAGCACTTTGGGAGGCCAAGGAAGGTGGATCACTTGAGGTCAGGAGTTCAAGACCACCCTGGCCAACAGAGTGAAACCTTGTCTCTACTAAAAACAAACAAACAAACAAAAAAAAAACAACAAAAAAACCCTACAAATTAGGTGTGGTGGCAGGTGTCTGTAATTCCAGCTACTCAGGTGGCTAAGGCAGGAGAATCACTTGAACCTGGGAGGCAGAGGTTGCAGTAAGCTGAGATCATGCCACTGCACTCCACCGTGGGTGACAGAGTAAGACTCCATCTGAAAAAAAAAATGTAGTCTGGCCATGTTTCCATAGAGCAGATGTGCCATGCGGGGGGTCCACTTCAGCCCCAGGTTGCCTTGAACCCTCTGAAGCCCCATGGGTAGAATGGCTAAGTCACCCAAACAGCAGAGATGGTGGCCTGTCCCTCTCCTTGGGATCTTTGTCCCAGGGAGGCCTGAAACCTCTATCAGCTGGAGAACACTGGTGGGGGTAGCCTGAGACCCTAGTCGAGAGGCTTCAGCCAGGGATGAGGATCAGGATTGGGGACCCACTTAAAAAAGCAGTTGGGTCACCATTTTGTAGGGCAGCTGTGTTGTGCTGGGGTACCGCTTCCACCTCCAGTTGGCCTGGGCTCTCCAAAGCCCAAAGGCTGGAACAGCTAAGTCACCCAGCCGCCAAAGATGCAGCCCACGTCTCCCTCTAAGAATTCTGTCCCAGGGAGTTTTCAAGTCTGTTGGCTGGAGAACACCAGCACAGGTGGCTGGAGGCCCTGGTTGGGAGTCCTGCTCAGTGAGGAGGAATGGGATCAGGGACCCACTTAAAGAAGTAGTCTGGCCACATTTTGGGAGAGCAGCTGTACTGTTCTGAGGGATCCCTTCTGCCCTCACTTGGACTCTTCAAAGCCTGAAGGCCATAACAGCTAAGATGCCCCAACAGTAGAGATGGCAGCCTGCCTCTCCCGCTGGAGCTCCATCACAGGGAAGCACACTACTATCAACTGCTGGCTAGAATTCTAAGCCAGTGGGTCTTATCCTGTGAGGTGCTGTGGAAGTGGGGCCCGCAGACCGTCACTCCTGGGCCCCCTGGATTCAACCTCTTTCTAGGGGTATGTACAGGGGTCTAATCTTGCACTTTACTGGAGTCGCAGCTATTTTGCCAGGGCACCTGGAAATCTGGAGTATCTAAAGCTCCTGGGTCTCCTTGCATGTCTGAGCAGCTGCTCTGCTGAGACACCATGTAGCTCTCTGTGTGTCAGACTGAAGGCCTTGGTGGAGTGGGTTCACAAGGAGATCTCCTGCCCAAAGGGTTGCAAAAATCCGTGGCAGAAGCATGGGTTCCTGGGGTTGAACATTCACTCACCTCTTCTCTGGGCAGATGAGCTTCCTTTCACTCCATGTTGGTCCTGGGTGGGCCGTTATCCTGCCTTGCTTTCCCCTGTTCTCTGTGGGTGAAGTCGTTTCCTTCATTAGTCCCAATGTGAGTACATGGATGTTTCAGTGGAAGGTTCTGTATTTACTTTTCCCTTCTGCTCCTCTCCGTGAGAGTCACACACATTTGCTGCTTCCGGTCAGCCATCTTGGCCACTCTCCCTGATGCATTTTCTTAGTTTTTAATTTATCCCAGAATGTCTTTATTTGGTTTTAATATTTTAAAAATATTATTTTGCTGTAAATAATATTCTTGGTTGGGAGTTTTTCATTTTCTTGAGTACTTTGGCTATGTCATCTGTCTTTTGACCTGCATTGTTAAAGTCAGGTGTTCATCTTATTGGATGGAGTTGCCTTGTATATGAACTCCCTCGTTTGTGAACCTCATCATTTTTCTCTTGCTTTTTTCAAGATTTGTTCCTTGTCTTTGACTTTCAATACTTTTATAATGTGTCAGGGTGTAGATATTTTTACATTTATCTTAGAGTTTGAGCTTTTTGGATTTACAGAGTAATACTTTTTGAAGCAGATTTAGACATTTTCAGCCATTATCTTTTAAAATCTCTTTTCTGCTTTTTCCTTTCTTCCCCTCCTGCAACTCTCTTTACATGTACATTGGTGTGATTAATGCCATCCCATTTCTCTGATTCTCAGTTCATTTTTTATTCTTTGCATTTTTTTCAGATGGCATAATCTTTATAAATCTGTCTTCGAGTTTGCTTTTTCTTCATCAACTCAAGTAATATAACATTTATTATATCCATTTTGTACCTGAGGTTTTATTGATGTAGGCATCCTAGAGGAGCATTTTACCGACCCTCAAAAATAGCCTATAAATTGAACCAGGATTGAAGTCATAAATAAATAAATATGTAGAAAATTACTGAAGACATCTGTTGCTTCAGAAAATTTAGGGAGTAAATCAAGCATGTCGGGGAGAAATTGGTAAGTCCTTGATTATGATCATAAGGCTATTACACAGAAAATCACATTACCAGAACCTGGTTATGGTTCTGTGGAATTAAAATAAATTTTAGAAAGCATAAAGGTTTATATTTTTTAAAAAGTGAAGTGTTCTCAGGGGAATATCTACTACATGATACAATGATAATATTTAGTTACTATTTTCCGCATGTACCAAGTTTAACTTACCAATATTTTCCATGGAAGAATTAGATATTAGAGGAGCAGTTATATTTTAACAAGTCTTAAGTGAAAAGTGGGGCTGTATGAGATAACCCTTATCTCCTAAAAACAAGACCTTCGTTTCTGAACCAATACAAAGAATATTTGCCCTTTCAAAGCATCTACCCAGAAGCTAATCTTTAATTTCTGTCACCTATTATTTGGTTGTTTCAAATTGGATGATATTTAGATCTAAGGCAAGATAATCTGATATTTGACAGTGAATAAAGCAGTAGGGATTCTGTTGCTTTTTGGGGGACAGAGAAATATACTGGTATTCATATCCATAAAATAAAAAATACATATTTTTTGAGACAGAGTCTTGCTCTGTTACCCAGGCTGGAGTGCTGGAGTGCAGTGGCATGATCTCGGCTCCCTGCAGCCTCTGTCTCTTGGGTGCCAGTGATTCTCCTGCCTCAGCCTCCTGAGTAGCTGGGATTACAGGCAGGTGCCACCACGCCCTGCTAATTTTTGTATTTTTAGTAGAGACAGGGTTTCACCATGTTGGCCAGGCTGGTCTTGAACTCCTGACCTCAGGTGACACTCCTGCCTCAGCCTCCCAAAGTCCTAGGGTTACAGGCATGAGCCACTGTGCCCAGCACATATCCATAAAATATTGATGGAGAAAAAATTAGTGAATAATTTCTGGGTACCTAATCTGTTGTGGATTCTATGATTAGTGCTTTACTCATATTTGTTCCTGGTAACTGTCTCAATAAATCTGTGAAATATATATTACTAGGCCCACTTTTCAAAATTAAGAGAAACAAAACAAAAAGATTCCAGTAGATTCAGTAAAGTATCCTAAGAGTTCCTCTCTAATTTCTATTCACCATGTCCAATTCATTAACTTCCATTTCTTACCATAAGTCTTGCCTACCTGCCACAGGCAGTTTTCTATACATTGGCTAGAATGGTCCATTTTTAAAACATATTTTTGAATATGTCTTTGTGACTATCTTGCTTAAAATATTTTGGTGACTTATCATTGCTCTCAGAATAAAACAACAACTTATCAGAAGCCCTAGATGCAATGATGGTCTGGTAACTGCCCACTTTTGTGATCTCACCTCCTCCTACTTCTTAGCTCATTCACTATATATTACAGCCACATTGGTGCCCTATACAACTTTCAAACATGCTATGCTGGTTCTCACTTTTTCCCTCTGCTTTCCCCAGAATGTCTTTTCCAGATGGCCCCTATGTTGCTCCTTTTTATTATTTGGGCCTCAGTTCAAATATACTGGATCCTGAGGCAATGATTTCCTCTGTCCTAATTAACCATCCTCATCATTTAGAATATTTTTGCATTTTGATTGAATGGATGGATGTACAATGAATAGATGATTAAATCACAACGGTCATAAACAAAGATTAAATCACAAAGGTCATCATAAACAAAAAAGCTGGAAATCACACTCAATTATGTTTGATACCTAAGTCTATTTTATTTCTAATGCATTACATTTATCTGTGTGGCTTTTTCAAGTCAGGTTTATTAAGTCATAATTTATACAAGTAAAATTTGCCTTTTTAAAGTATACAGTTCATTGAGTTTTGAGAAATGTATATAGTTGTGCACTCATAATCACACTCAAGATACAGAATAGTCCCATCAAATTTCCCCCATACCCCTTTGAAATCAATTTACTGCCTCCACTCCAACTCTTGAAATGATTGAATCTCTGCCCTTATAGTTTTGCCTTTTCCAGAAGATCACATAAATAGAAGAACCATACAGAATATGGCCTTTTTATCTATTTTCTTTCATCTAGCAAAACATTTTAAGATTTAGCCATCTTGCTTGCATCAGTAATTTTCCCCTTTTCATTGCTAAAAGTCATATATAATTGTGTGAATATACCACAGTTTGTTTGAACCTTGGCAATTGATGAATATTTGCATTATTTTCAGTTTTTAGCTCTTACGATTAAAACTACTTTGAACATTCGTCAAATTTTTTTTCAGAGCAACTGTACTATTTCACATCTCGCCAGCAATATTTAAGGGTTCTTGTTGTTTTTCTTCACCAGTATTGATATTATGAATCTTTTTAATTTGAACCTTTCTAGTAGGTGTGATATTTCATCATCTTTTTTAATTTTCATTTCCCTTAATGTTGAGCATTTTTTACATGCTTGAGACTCATATGTATTTTTTGGTGAAAAGTCTTTTAATTTAAGGGATCTTTATCAGATATATGTTTTGCAAATATTTTCACCCAGTCTTTGTCTTGTCTTTCATTTTCTTAATGGTGCTATTCAAAGATCAGCATTCTTAAATTATGGTGAAGCCTAATTTCTCATAATTGTTTGGTCATCTACCAGGTTTCAGTGATTTCGGTTTCAGTGATTTATAATCCAAAATATTTATTGACCGCCTAGTAGTACTAAATCATATAATTCTTTTGATGTTCACTGAGCACATATCCTGCATTCAGTTCTGCCAGAAAGTTGAATTATGGTAGTCATTATGCATACGGAGAAAACAGGGAAGGCTTCAGAACATTTTTGATTTGCCCTGAATCCAAGTGGCAGTTGAAATTTGTAAACTCTCCAATAATTTACTGTTACCTATATTTTTTAAACCACTTTTTAGATATTAACACATTTAAATTAACAGTAAATACATTAAATGAAGGCAATTTACTAGAAAATTACCATTTGTTCAGGCTTCTTCCAATCTTCTAATCTTCTTTCTTTTAAGAATTTTTTTGGAAGGATCTTAGGATTTTGCTTAACTTCAGGTTGGACTGGACTAGTTTAGGGCTTTGGGTCATGGAAATTATGTCCGGGGTTAGAGAAGACTCAAGACTTATAAAACAAAAAAGCAAGCAAACAAAGTTACTGAGCGTGTGAAAGAAGGTAAAGAGCATAACTGGTCTTGGAAATAAGAGATAACGAAGTTTATTATACAAAACAAAATGAATAATTCAAGGGAAGGGACATAGAACGAATTCTTAAGACAGCAAACCTCAGGAGATTTATTTTTAATTGATTTAAAAGTTAATTGCTTTTTGAAGTAATAATAATGATGTATTTGGTGGATATAGAATATTGTGACAATAATTATAGCAGTGTCATAGGAGATAGTAAAGAAGAATCAAGAATACTTTGTTATAAAATATCTATACTATATGTTAAGTAATATAGTGTTATAAAATGTATAGTGTAACTACTAGGGTAACCACTATTTTTTAAGTGTAATAGATATGGAAAAGGAGAGATAAAATGGAATTATATTAAATGCTCAAGTAAAATCAGAGAAGGCAGTAAATCGGGGAAAAACAAAGAACAAATAATCACTAATAGAAAAGTGCCAAACGTGGTAGATATTAATGCAAATGTATCAATAATCACTTAAAATGTGAATCATCTAAAAGCACCAGACTCAGATTTTCAGAGTGAATAAAAAAATAAGATTCAGTTACATGTTGTGTACAAAAGAAACCCACTTTAACTATAAAGACACTGATGATATGTTCAAAGTAAAGGGGTGAGTGGCAGTTGCAGTCTGTGGCACTCATGAAGAGGAATGAGAGCAGTAAGTGAAAAGTGAATTTGGCACCTTCAACTGAAGTACTCAGGGTTTTTTTTTTTTTTTTTTCTTTTTTGATACAGAGTTTTGTTCTTCTTGCCCAGGCTGGAGTGCAATGCCATGATCTCCACTCACTGCAACCTCTGCTCCCACTGGGGCTAACTAGGCAGTGCTCCACCCAGGGAGAGCAAACAAAAGCAGGGTGGGGCAATGGCCTACACCTCGGAGCAACATGGAGCCAAAGGAACCCCCACCCCTAGCCAAGGGAGGCAGTGAGTGACTGTGATTCCCCCTGGGAAACCATGCTTCTCCCATGGATCTGGAGATCCTCTCCTGAGCCCACGCTACCTGGGCCTTGGGTCCTATGCACAGAGCTGTGAGCAGCCACTCAGGCACACACAGAGACCCAGGAGTTTTATATACTCTGGCCCCAGGATCCCCAGTGAGGTGGAAGATCCATCCATACATTTCCCTAGGAAGGGGGCTGAATCCAGGGAGCCAAGCAATGTCATTCTGCGGGCCCCACTTCCATGGTACCTTACAGGTTAGGACCCAGTGGCAGCAGGTTGAGTCTGCCTGAATTGGTGGGAGAGTTTCTGGAGGCAGGGGCAGCTGAAATTTCTGTGGTTTCATTGACTCAGTATACCAGCCTGCTGGTTCTGGGGAGTCCAGGCAGTCCAGAAAAGGAGGGTCCTCCCCCAACACAGAACACCTGCTTTGCCAGATTTGGCCCAGACTTATTTTTAAAGTGGGTCCCCAGACAATTCCTCCTCACTGGGTGGGGCCTCCCTGCAGGGGGCCTTCAGTCACTCCGGCCAGGCTTACATGGACAGAACTTGCCCTGGGAAGCAGCTCCTGGGGGAGGGATGGCTGCCATCTCTGTGGTTCAGTTGACTCGACTGTTCCAGCCTTCTGGCTCTGGAGAATCTGGGCTGTCCAGACAAGGAAGGGTTCCCCCAAATGCAGCACACATGTTCTACCAAAAAACAGCCAGACAGCTTCTGTAAGTGGGTCCCTGATCCCGTTCCTTCAGACTGGGTGACATATCCCAACAGGGGTGTTTCCAGACACCACCCAAAGGAGTGTTCAGACCAGCAACAGGTCAGTATCCACTGGAACAGAGCTTCCAGAGGAAGGAGTAGACTGTCATCTTTGCTGTTTCACAGCCTTCACTGGTGATACCTCCAGGTACGAGAAAAGCTGAGGCAACTGGGGTTTGGAGCAGACCCCCAGAAAACCATAGTAACCATATTGTTGCTAACAGTCAGTGGCCTGTTAAAAAACAAACATCAACAAAGAAGACCCTACAAAGACCCTATTCAAAGGTTAGCAACCTCAAAGATTGAAGGTAGATAAGATCACAAAGATTAGAAAAAAATCTATGCAAAAATGCTGAAAACTCAAAAAGCCAGAGTGCCTCGTCTCCTCTAAATGGCTGCAACACCTTTCCAGCAAGGGCACAGAACTGGGCTGAGACTGAGATGGCTGAATTGACAGAAATAGATTTCAGAATGTGGGTAATAATGAACTTGTATGTTGTAACCCAATGCATGTTGTAACCCAATACAAAGAAGCTAAGAATCATGATACAACAAACATTAGAGGAACTGATATGCCGAATAGCAAGTTTGGAGAGGAACATAACTGACCTGATGGAGCTGAAAAACACGACAAGAGAACTTCACAATGCAATCACAAAAGTATGAATTGAAGAATAGACTAAGTGAAGGAAAGAATCTCAGAGCTTGAAGACTATCTTAAACAAGACAGGCAGACAAGAATAGAGAAAAAAGAATAAATAATGATGAACAAAACCTCTGAGAAATATGGTATTATGTGAAAAGACCAAACCTATGACTGTTTGGGGTACCTGAAAGTGATGGAGAGAATGGAACCAAGCTGGAAAACATACTTCAGGATATCATCCAGGAGAACTTCCTTAACCTGGAAAGTCAGGCCAACATTCAAATTCAGGAAATTCAAAGAACCCCAGTAAGATACTCCATGAGAAGATGAGCCCCAGGACACAGAATCAACAGATTCTCCAAGGTCATAATGAAAGAAAAAAATGTTAAGGGAAGCTAGAGAGAAAGGCCAGGTCACCTACAAAGGGAAGCCCATCAGACTAATAGTGGACTTCTCAGTGGAAACCCTACAAGCCAGAAGAGATTGGGGATCAATATTTCACATTCTTAAAGAAAATAATTTTCAACCCAAAATTTTATATCTGGCCAAACTAAGCTTCATAAGCAAAGGAGAGATAAATCCTTTCCAGGCAAGCAAATGCTGAGGGAATTCAGGCATATCTTGCAAGGGCTTCTAAAGGAAGCACTAAATATGGAAAGGAAAAACCATTACCAGCCACTACAAAAACACACTGAATTACACAGACCAGTGACACTATGAAGCACCTACAAAAACAAGTCTGCAAAATAACCAGCTAGCACCATGATGACAGGATCAAATACACACATAACAATATTAACCTTAAATGTAAATGGGATAAAGACCTCAATTAAAAGACACAGAATGGCAAGCTGGATAAAGAGTAAAGACCCATCAGTGTGCTGTATTCAAGAGACCTCTCTCACATGTGAAGACACACATAGGCTGAAAATAAAGGGATGGAAGAAAATTACCAAGCAAGTGGAAAACAGGGATTGCAATTCTGGTTTCTGATAAAACAAAGTTTAAGCCAACAAAGATTTAAAAAGACAAGGGCATTACATAATGGTAAAAGTTCAATTCAACAAGAACAGCTAACTGTCTGAACTAAACATGCACCCAATACAGGAGCAGCCAGATTCATAAAGCAAGTTCTTAGAGACCTACAAAGAGCCTTAGACTCCCACATAGTAATAATGGGAAACTTCGATCACCCAACTGACCATATTAGATCATTGGAGACAGAAAATTAGCAAAGACATTCAGGACCTGAACTCAGCTCTGGATTGAGTGGACCTGACAGATACCTACAGAACTCTTCACCCAGAAACAACAGAATACACATTCTTCTCATTCCACATGGCACTTACTCTAAAATTGATCACATAATCAGAAGTAAAACATTCTCAGCAAGTGTAAAAGAACTGAAGTCATAACTGACAGTCTCTAAGAACACAGAGCAATCAAATTATAACTCAAGATAAATTCATTCAAAACCACACAACTGCATGCAAATTGAACAACCTTCTACTGAATGAATTCTGGGCAAATAATGAAATTCAGGTAGAAATCAAGAAGTTATTTGAAACTAATAGGAACCAAAAGACAATGTAACAGAATCTCTTTGATTATAAAGTGGTTTTGAGAAGGAAATTTATAGCACTACATGCCCACATCAAAAATCTAGAAAGATCTCAAGTTAACAACCTAACGTCACAACTAAAAGAACTAGAGAACCAAGAGCAAACAAAAACCAAAGCTAGCAGAAGACAAGAAATAACCAAGATTAGAACTGAATTGAAGGAGATAGAGACACAAAAAACCCTTCAAAAAAATCAAAGAATCCAGGGGTTGGTTTATAAAAAAAATACATAAATTAGATAGACTGCTAGCTTAGACTAATAAAGAAGAAATGAGAGAAGACTGAAATAAACACAATCAGAAATGATAAGGGCGATATCACCACTGACCCCGCAGAAATAAACCAACCATCGGAGAATACTACAAACACATCTATGAACATAAACTAAAAAATGTAGACTAAATGGATAAATTCTTGGACACATACACTGTCCCAAGACTGAACCAGGAAGAAACCAAATAGACCAATAATGAGTTCTAAAATATAGGCAGTGATAAACAGCCCACCAACCAAAAAAAAGCCCAGGACCAAATGGATGCACAGCTGAATTCTACCAGAGGTACAAAGAATAGCTGGTACCATTTCTACTGAATTTATTCCAAATAACTGAGAAGGAAGGACTCCTCCCTAACTCATTCTATGAGGCCAGCATCATCTTGATACCAAAACCTGGCAGAGATACAACAACAGAAAACTTTAAGCCAATATCCCTGATGAAAATTGAACCAAAAATTCTCAGTAAAATACTGGCAAACTGAATGCAGCAGCACATCAAAAAGTTTATCTAACATGATCAAGTTGACTTCATTTTCAGGATGCAAAGTTGATTCAACATATGCAAATCAATAAATTTTATTCATCTCATAAATAGAACTAAAGATAAAAACCACATGATTATCTCAATAGATGCAGAAAAGGCCTTCGATAAAATTCAACATCTCTTCATGTTAAAAACTCTCAATGAACTAGGTATGGAGGACACATACCTCAAAATAATAAGAGCCATATATGGCAAACCCATAGCCAGTATCATACTGAATGGGCCAAAGCTGGAAGCATTCCCCCTTGAAAACTGGCACAAGACAAGGATGCCCTCTCTCACCACTCCTATTAAACACAGTATTGGAAGTTCTGGGCAGGACAACCAGGTAAGAGAAAGAAATAAAAGGCATCCAGATAGGAAGAGAGAAAGTCAAAATATCCCTGTTTGCAGATGACATGATCCTATATCTAGAAAACTCCATCATCTCTGCCCAAAAGCTTCTTAAGCTGATAAGCAACCTCAGCAAAGTGTCAGCATAAAAAATCAATGTGCAAAAATTGCCAGCATTTCTATATACCTAAAACAGGCAAGTAGAAATCCAAATCATGAATGAAGTCCAATTCACAATTGCTTCAAAGAGAATAAAATACTTAGGAATACAACTAACAAGGGAAGTGAAGGACATCTTTAAGGGAAACTACAAAACACTGCTCAAAGAAATCAGTGATGACACAAATGGAAAAATATTACATGCTTATGGATAGGAAGAATCAATATTGTGACAATAGCCATATTGCCTAAAGCAATTTATCGGTTCAATGCTATTATACTACCACTGACATACTTTCTAATACTACACATAATTAGAAAAAAAAATTTTAAATTCGTATGAAACTTAAAAAGAGCCCTAATAGCCAAGGGAATCCTAAGTAAAAAGGACAAACCTGGAGATAGGCTACCTGACTTTAAACTATACTAAAAGACTACAGTAACTAAAACAGCATGTACTGGTACAAGAACAGACACATAGAACAATGAAACAGAATAGAGAACTCAGAAGTAACCACTCACACCTGTAACCATCTGGTCTTTGACAAACCTGACCAAAAAAAGCAATGGCAAAAGGATTCCCTATTTAATAAATGGTTATGCGATATCTGGCAAGCCATATGCAGAAGATTAAAACTAGACCCCTTCCTTACACCATATACAAAAATTACCTCAAGATGGATTAAAGACAAATGTGAAACCCCAAACTATAAAAACCCTAGAAGAAAATCTTGGCAATATGATTCAGAACATAGATACAGGCAAAAATTTCATGACAAAAATGACAAAAGCAGTTGCAACAAAAGGAAAAATTGACAATTGGGATCTAATTAAAGAGCTTCTGCACAGAAAAAGAAACTGTCATAAGAATGAACCGATAACCTACAGAATAGGAGACTTTTTTTTTTTGCAATCTATCTATCTGAGAAAGGTCTGATACTGAGAGTCTACAAGGAACTTAAACAAATTGACAGGAACAAAACAAACAACCCCATTAAAAAGTGGGCAAAGGATGTGAACAGATACTTCTCAAAAGACGACATACTTGTGGACAACAAATATATGAAAAAAGCTCAACATCACTGATCATTAAAAAAATGCACATCAAAACCACAATGAGATACCATCTTATGCTAGTCAGAATGGCAGTTACTAAAAAGTCAAAAAACAGCAGATGCTTGTGATGTTGCAGAGAAAAAGGAAGGCTATTACACTGTTGGTGGGAGTTCAACCCACTGTGGAAGACAGTGTGGCAACTCCTCAAAGATCTGGAGGTGGAAATACCATTTGACCCAGCAATCCCATTACTGGGTATATACCCAAAGGAATATAAATCATTTTATTATAAAGATGCATGCATATGTTCATTACAGCACTGTTCATGATAGCAAAGACTTAGAATCAACCCAAATGTCCATCAGTGATAGACTGGATAAAGAAAATGTACATTTACACCATGGAATACTATGCAGCCATAAAATAGAATGAGATCATGTCCTTTGCAGGGACATGGATGGAGCTTTCAGATGCCACTATCCTCAGCAAACTAATGCAGGAACAGAAAACCAAAAACTGCATGTTCTCACTTATAAATGGGAGCTCAATGATGGGAACATGTGGACACACTGGGGGAAGGGGGGACGTGGGGAACAACACATACTGGGGCTTGTCATGGGGCCAGGGAGGCAGAGCATTAGGAAGAATAGTTTATAGATGCTGGGCTTAATACATAGGTGATGGGATAATCCGTGCAGCAAACCATCATGGCACACATTTACCTATGTAACAAACCTGCACATCCTGCACATGTACTCTTGAACTTAAAAGTTGAAGATTAAAAAAAAAGGGGTGTAGAAAGATATATCATGGTAAAGATACATGATGCTGGCTGGGCGTGGTGGCTAACGCCTGTAATCCCAGCACTTTGGGAGGCTGAGGTGGGCGGATCACGAGGTCAGTGATCGAGACCATCCTGGCTAACACGGTGAAACCCTGTCTCTACTGAAAACACAAAAAAACTTATACATAATATATAAATTATATATAATATAAATTATATATATAAATTACGTATATAAATTATGTTATATATGTTACATATATAAATTATGTTATATATGTAACATATATAACATATGTAAATTTTATATATATATATATATATACACACACACACCATGCTAAAACTAAGTTTAAAAAAAAGCCAGAGTAGCTGTGTTAATTTCAGACAAAGCAAACTTCTGAACCAGAAAAATTAACAGAAATAAAGAGGGGCATTGCATAATGATAAAGGGACTAACTTTCCAAGAACGGGAAATAGTTCTAAACATGTATGCATCTAACAACAGAGAATCTAAATATATAAGGCAAAAACTGAGATTGGTGAGGAGTAACAGAAAAATTTCTTATTATAGCTGGAGATTTCATAACTCCTTTTTCAGTAACTGATAGCTCAAGCAGTCAGAAAAACAGTAAGGATATAGTTAACCTGAACAGTGCTATTATACAACTTTATCAAATTGACATGTATAGACTATTCCATCTGACAACAAAATACATATTCTTCTCAAGCTTTCATGGAACCTTCACCCAGTAGACCCAATCTAGGCATAAAGCACACAAAGTATTTTAAAAGTAGAAATGATACCAAATTCTCAGAAAATAATGAAATTAATCTATAAATTAATACCACAAATTATCATTTATTAGGGAATTGCAAGTTAAAACAATAGTAACTTATTTACTATATATCTATTATTAATAGACTGGCTAACATAGAAAAAACTGATAAAGCCAAATAAGGTAGAGGACACAAAGCAAAAGGAAGTATTAATTGCTGCTAGGAGTGCAAAATGGCATAGCCATTTTGAAAGACAGTTTGGTTTGTAGTTCTCCTTGAAGAGGTCCTTCACATCCCTTGTAAGTTGGATTCCTAGGTATTTTATTCTCTTTGAAGCAATTGTGAATGGGAGTTCACTCATGATTTGGCTCTCTGTTTGTCTGTTATTGGTGTATAAGGATGCTTGTGATTTTTGCACATTGATTTTGTATCCTGAGACTTTGCTGAAGTTGCCTATCAGCTTAAGGAGATTTTGGGGCTGAGATGATGGGGTTTTCTAGATATACAATCATGTTATCTGCAAATGGACAATTTGACTTCCTCTTTTCCTAATTGAATACCCTTTATTTCCTTCTCTTGCCTGATTGCCCTGGCCAGAACTTCCAACACTATGTTGAATAGGAGTGGTGAGCGAGGGCATCCCTATCTTGTGCCAGTTTTCAAAGGGAATGCTTCCAGTTTTTGCCCATTCAGTATGATATTGGCTGTGGGTTTGTCATAGATAGCTCTTATTATTTTGAGATACGACCCATCAATACATAGTTTATTGAGAGTTTTTAGCATGAAGGGTTGTTGAATTTTGTCAAAGGCCTTTTCTGCATCTATTGAGATAATCATATGGTTTTTGTCTTTGGTTCTGTTTATATGCTGGATTACATTTATTGATTTGCATATGTTGAACCAGCCTTGCATCCCAGGGATAAAGCCCACTTGATCATGGTGGATAAGCTTTTTGATGTGCTGCTGGATTCGGTTTGCCAGTATTTTACTGAGGATTTTTGCATTGCTGTTCATCAGGGATATTGGTCTAAAATTCTCTTTTTTGTTGAGTCTCTGCCAGGCTTTGGTATCACGATGATGCTGGTCTCATAAAATGAGTTAGGGAGGATTCCCTCTTTCTCTATTGATTGGAATAGTTTCAGAAGGAATGGTACCAACTCCTCCTTGTACCTCTGGTAGAATTCGGCTGTGAATCCATCTGGTCCTGGACTTTTTTTGGTTGGTAAGCTATTGAATATTGCCTCAATTTCAGCTCCTGTTATTGGTCTATTCAGAGATTCAACTTCTTCCTGGTTTAGTCTTGGGAGGGTGTATGTGTCGAGGAATTTATCCATTTCTTCTAGATTTTCCAGTTTATTTGCCTAGAGGTGTTTATAGTATTCTCTGATGGTAGTTTGTATTTCTGTGGGATTGGTGGTGATATCCCCTTTATCATTTTTTATTGCATCTATTTGATTCTTCTCTATTTTCTTCTTTATTAGTCTTGCTAGCAGGACCTCTTCAAGGAGAACTACAAACCACTGCTCAGTGAAATAAAAGAGGATACAAACAAATGGAAGAACATTCCATGCTCATGGGTAGGAAGAATCAATATCATGAAATTGGCCATACTGCCCAAGGTAATTTATAGATTCAATGCCACCCCCAGCAAGCTGCCAATGACTTTCTTCACAGAATTGGAAAAAACTACTTTAAAGTTCATATGGAATCAAAAAACAGCCTGCATTGCCAAGTCAATCCTAAGCCAAAAGAACAAAGCTGGAGGCATCACTCTACCTGATTTCAAACTCTACTACAAGGCTACAGTAACCAAAACAGCATGGTACTGGTACCAAAATAGAGATATAGACCAATGGAACAGAACAGAGCCCTCAGAAATAATGCCACATATCTACAACCATCTGATCTTTGACAAACGTGACAAAAACAAGCAATGGGGAAAGGATTCCCTATTTAATAAATGGTGCTGGGAAAACTGACTAGCCATATGTAGAAAGCTGAAACTGGTTCCCTTCCTTACACACTATACAAAAATCGATTCAAGATGGATTAAAGACTTAAATGTTAGACCTAAAACCATAAAAACCCTAGAAGAAAACCTAGGCATACCATTCAGGACATAGGCATGGACAAGGACTTCATGTCTAAAACACCAAAAGCAATGGCAACAAAAGCCAAAATTGACAAATGGGATCTAATTAAACTAAAGAGCTTCTGCACAGCAAAAGCAACTACCAACAGAGTGAACAGGCAACCTACAGAATGGGAGAAAATTTTTGCAATCTACTCAGCTGACAAAGGGCTAATATTCAGAATCTACAATGAACTCAAACAAATTTACAAGAAAAAAACAAACCCATCAAAAAGTGGGTGAAGGATATGAACAGACACAAAAGAAGACATTTATGCAGCCAATAGACACATGAAAAAATGCTCATCATTACTGGCCATCAGAGAAATGCAAATCAAAACCACAATGAGATACCATCTCACACCAGTTAGAATGGGAATCATTAAAAAGTCAGGAAACAACAGGTGCTGGAGAGGATGTGGAGAAATAGGTACACTTACACTGTTGGTGAGACTGTAAACTAGTTCAACAATTGTGGAAGTCAGTGTGGTGATTCCTCAGGGATCTAGAACCAGAAATACCATTTGACCCAGCAATCCCATTACTGGGTATATACCCAAAGGATTATCAATCATACTGCTATAAAGACACATGCACACGTATGTTTACTGTGGCACTATTCACAATAGCGAAGACCTGGAACCAACCCAAATGTCCAACAATGATAGATTGGATTAAGAAAATGTGGCACATATATACCATGGAATACTATGCAGCCATAAAAAATGATGAGTTCATGTCCTTTGTAGGGACATGGATGAAGCTAGAAACCATCATTCGCAGCAAACTATCTCAAGGACAAAAAACCAAACACCGCATGTTCTCATTCATAGGTGAGGATTGAACAATGAGAACACATGGACATAGGAAGGGGAACATCACACACCGGGGCCTGTTGTGGGGGTAGAAGGACGGGGGAGGGATAGCATTTGGAGATATACCTAATGTTAAATGACGAGTTACTGGGTGCAGCACACCAACATGGCACATGTATACATATGTAACTAACCTGCACATTGTGCACATGTACCCTAAAAATTAAAGTGTAATAAAAAAAAAAGAAAAAAAAGACAGTTTGGCATTTTCTCATAATGTGAGTCATTACTGTAGTATACAATCTAGTGTCTCACTCGTTGGTATTTACCCAACTGACTAGAAAACATATGCTCATACAGAAACCTGTATATAAATATGTATAGAAACATTATTCATGTGCCCCAAACTGGAAACAACCAAAGTATCTTTAATATAATAGATGAATGAACAAACTGAAATACCTGTAGAATGTAGTAGCATTCAGTAATTTAAAAAAATAAGCAATCATTCCCCAAAAAGCCACATGGAGGAAACTTAAATGCACATTGCTAAGTGAAAGAAGCCAATTTGAAAAGGCTGCATGTTCCATGGTTTCAATTATTTGGCAATCTGGAAAAGGCAAAATTTCAGTGTGCTGAGGTTGTCTGCCAGCTCCATCCACGTTCCTGCAGTTACAAGATCAGTGGTTTTCTCAGTTCAGCAGTGCATGGTCTAGTGTTGAATAGGTGAAGCACAAGAGATTTTGTAGAGTGATAAAGCCACCAATACTTCTGTCAAAATCCACAGAAATTTATAGTACAAGAAGTGAAACTTTATATACGCAGCATAAAAATAAATCATGTAGAAGGCCCAGGGATCCCAGGATTAAATTCAGAAAGTAACATAAGAATCTAACTGTATTACAAGTGTAATCAACAACCTCACTGAGATAAACATCAGTGAGGCTGGAGAAACAATATCCCTGGGGGTAGTGGGAGAACAGGTGCTGACCGAAATAACTTTGAAAATGAGTGAAACCTGTAAGAGTAAAGGCAAATGAAACTGTGCATAAGCACTGTACTCTAGTTGATAAATTGTTTTCCATAGGGATAGATGTTAACAATTTTGATACTGGTATATAAATGTATCCTAGGATTGAACATTTCAGTAAATGGGTTGTAGATGGTAGGAGCTGGGTTTCTCACCATTCCACTGACAGTTTACCAATAAGCAAAAGAAGCAGGCTAGAATGAACTGTGTTAGAATTAGAATTGGAGCATTCAGTATGAACTCATGTTTAGCTTAACAGAGATACAGTGGTTATGGAAATATGTATATATATATATATATATATATATATATATATATATATATATATATGCATATATGCACCACTTATTATACACCTAATACTCTGATCTTGGTTTATAATACTATTCTCCAGTGAAAGGACCAGTGATTCTTCCAGACATAGCAAATTCATGTACTAAGACATATACTAATATACTACATGTACATGTACTACATGTACATGTAGTATATTATACTAATGTATATTATACTATATTATACTATATGCTATAGTATATTATACTACTATACTACATGTACAATATACATGTACATGTACTGATATACTACATGTACAATATACTACATGTACATGTACTAATATACTACTTAGTGCATGTACTAAGACATGTACTAATATATTGTACATATATATTATATAATTATATATTAGTACCTATAATAAGACATGTACTAATATAATACAAGATGAGTCTAGAACATCTAGTAGGGACAGAAACAAAGAAGGAGGAGGAAGGAGAAGGAAGAAGGAAGGAGATGGAGAAGGACCAGGAGAAGGAGAAGAAGAAACATAATTTTGGGGGTATGTAAAAAAAGACTTTTGTAAGTCAACTGAATGAGCTCCCCACGGCAAAATCTGGACTGGTTTGAGCAACAAAATAAAGTGGTATTGAAATATAGCCCAGAGTATAAGAAAAATTCATACCTTATACTAATATAAATAAATGGGTAAAAGTAGGTACATTTCCTATGTAGAAGAATTGCACACAGGGCTTTATATCTGTGTTTACAGAATTTTCTGTAAGTCTGTGAATGTCTGTAGAACAGGAACAGTGTTTTATTGTTCAGAGATCAATTGTGTGACTTGGGCTGAACAAATACCTGGCAATTGGTAGGTGCCCAGAAAATATGTGTTCAGCCCAAGTCACACAATTTATACTTGAGATTTTTTTTTTTTTAGTTTTTACCTAATGTCCTTTTTAATGTTCACATTGAAATTAAGGAAAATAACTATCCTCTTAAAATAGCCCAAAATGCTTTAGCTTTTCTCATAGTTAATATTTTTTCTAATCATAAATACCATGATCTCCACAGGCTCCATGGAAAGGTATCAAAAATAGCAAGCATCTTGCTAGAATGTAACACGTGACTTAACCTCCTGTGCATGCTTTTAATCTTCATCTTTTCTCCAGCTGTGTCAGTATCGTATTTATCAAGATTCCCAAACATGCAATTTGAGGGCTGTGTTTGATTACATTTGGGTTTTCTAGGCACATTAACATGGTGGTTATTTGGAAAGACTGACTGTGCAGGGGAAAAAGAGCACTGGTCTATGAGTCTGGAATTAAAATTCTCTTCCTGACTTTGTTCCTAAGCTAGCCTTGGGACCTTGGTGAGTTGCCGCACCTGTCACAGTCTGGGTTTCCTCATTTGCAGGGACAATAAGGGCTAAATGATCTCTGAGTTTCTGATCTCTGAGTTTCCTTCTTCCTTTACAGTTGATGGTAGAATGTGGGCTCATTTCTGCAATCCAGTTGAGTTCTCAAACTAGTAAGTTTGTGAATAAGACTGCAGTTTGCAATTCGGGCTTCTCAATCCAGGGAAGGAAGTCTCTCTTGGTTTGGGTACGGTGAGAGGCATGAAATTTTCTCTAGAGATGTTTTCCCTTTGGTTTTAGAATGTTGGGTGGTATGTCTTGCCCATCAAAAAGGA
Organism: Homo sapiens; assembly: GCF_000001405.40. Classification (NCBI taxonomy): domain Eukaryota; kingdom Metazoa; phylum Chordata; class Mammalia; order Primates; family Hominidae; genus Homo; species Homo sapiens. Next base: position 93,759,554 of record NC_000015.10, read on the forward strand.
GAGAATAGGATGAATGATAATTTGTTAGTTGGGAACAGCTTCCCACAAGAAATGAAAGAGAACTAAAAGGCAGAATAAATGACTAACCTTTGCCTTGCCCCTCAGAAAAGCTGGTGAAATTTAGAAATATAGTCATGTTTCTATTCACTCAGGCTCTCTACCTGAACCAACAACCATTCGTGAAACTTTCCACATTAAACTTTCAGTTCCAGTAAAGTTCATAGCAGTCTTTAAAACTGCACCCGGAGGTGACAACATAACATTCCTTTGGGTCTGATGCATAGAGGCTTAGAGTGTGAGGGCTGAAAAGGGTTTTTGAGGGCAAAGGGACATATAAGTGTGTTTTACCATGCGCATAACACTTAACTAACATGAATGATCCTGGCTGGATGCTTTTTATGTATTATTTCTAATCCTTCTCAGAATCCAGCAAAACAGGTGGTTCACAGAGGAGGAAACTGAGGCTAAAGCAGGGTAAATAACTTATCCAGTTTTACTTGACTCCAAGAGGCTGGTTTGAGTTTTTAACTCAAGTCTGTCTCACTCAGCTTCCTCAACTGTGTTCTCACATTATTAACTCCTAGTCTTGCTTCAATCCTGCCTCTGGGAAGCCTTCTTTGACCCTCCAGAGAATATAAATTACAGGAATTCCCCTTTCTGTAATTGTTTTGTGGTGTGGTTCACACAGGGTTTTATAACTGTGTTCACATAATTTTCTCTTCTACAAGTCTGTGAATGTCTGTTAAACAGGGACAGTGTTTTATTGGTCTCTGAATCCTAATACCTGGCAATTGGTAGGTGCCCAGAAAGTATTTGTTCAGCCCAAGTCACACAATTCATTGGATACAGAGCCAGAACTAAATCCAGACCTCTTGACTCCTGGTCCAGAATTCTTTCGCCACCACATTATTACTTTTAGGTTTTTAATCGCATGCAACTTCCAGCTTATTCTCCCCATAAAACCTCCTTGTTCCCTCACCCCAAACCCTGCACATGATTTCTGTGAGCAGTGGAAATGTTTTCATCACAAGTATGAAGGCTTGCACTTAATATGGACTTACTGTGGACTCAGCGCAGGCTCACTATGTGAATCCTCTTCTTTTCTCCTGACAGTGCTCCCAGGTGAATGCTGCTATCAACCCCATTTTACAACGTGGAAACTGAAGAATTGAGATAGTAACTGCACCAAGATCTCACAACTGGGGTAAAAATCCATGCAGCATGGCCCTAGATGAACATAATCTGAAAGACTGGGCTCCACGCCTCAAGGTTGGGACAGAGAGCGAGTCTCCTTGCTCAGGTTTTATCTCTTGTTAGTTAGATGCCAAATACATTTTTTTAAAATAAAACAGCTGAGATGTCTTGATCCTTAAGGAACATAACACCAGGTTCCAAGGGTGATTTAATTGAAGTCACCCACTCCTTTTGATCCCTGCAAACTTTTACCGAGAGCTTTGAAACAGGTTGCTGAGCACTTCCCATATTGAATCTGTGCATACTCTGGTTTCTTACAAGGTCACGTGAAGGATAAGATTCAGAGCATTCCAGGGAGATTACGCTCCAACTGCAGAAACCTGAAAAAGCAATTGATAAAGGCTTAGCTGCATTACTCTGAAGACTTTGGTATTGTGGGGTAATCATACATAGCAGCTCTCACAGGGTTCTGAGGCTTATCTCATTTTATGTGCCCTTTTTTCCTTGGAGAGTCTAAATCTCTCCTGGAGATTAAAATGTAATGACACAATGATTTGAGACAGAAAAGCATCAAAAATCATACTTTGAGGCATTATAGGATATATGTAACATTATGCACAAACACGAAAGGGGATTTGAATTCAGCAAAGAACTCCAGGTGTATCATATGTTTCTATTTGTGTACAATTTTAAATTTTTAAAGAATAAGACCATAGTGGGGCAGGGTGAGGAAGGGTCCATGGAGCCTCTCCAGGCTCTTCTTCCTTCATGGGAGAAGCTTCCCTCAAAGGAGGAGCTGCAAGAGATGAAAAGGAAGAGGCCTGGAGAGCTCACACGAGGTCTCCAAGCAATTGAGCCTCCCTGGAGCTGTAAAGCAGGAAACTCAGCTTCTGGGTGAGGCCCTGATCCTTTAAAAGCCCAGATGCCAACTCCACAGGGGCAGACCCATCTCTCAGCTGATTGACCTAGCACTGGACGACATTCCTCATATTTACTTGTTTATTTTCTCTCTCACCTGTAATCTCCATAAAGCAAGTTTCATGAGGCAAGGAACAGATATCTCTAGGTCAATGCTGTATTCCTAGTTTTAGAACAATGCCAGGCTGGAAAGGAAGGAAGGAAGGAAGAACAGGAGAGATGGTGGAGAGAGAGGTAGGTTGGTTTATAGTAAATACCATAATGCGTATTTATGTGCATACACATGCACATGTATGTACACAGAGATACATATATACTTACGTAGGAAGCTGTATATTTTGATGAGAAAAGTGTAAATATAAAACATTTAATTGAGTAGTTTTCAATAAATGTTTCAGAGTTTGTATTATGGCCCCTAAGCTAATGTATTTGGAGTGGAGTTTGTAGCACAGCGCACGTTTTTACCCAACAGATTTGTTATTAGGAGAACTCACATAACTCAGAGACGATGCACACCAGGCAACAGAAGAAAGCAGCCTAAATGGAAGGAGGCTGAGTGAGCAACAGGCCATCTGCTGTTGCAGCTGCTTTTCCTCTCACACATGGGAATAGCATCACATTTCTTTGGAAAAAACACCTTTCTTATGGCTTCAGGCTGTGATTTGGGGATGGCTGTCCTCAAACTACAGGCTCATGGGTAGTTGCAGGTCTAAGGTTTGGCCCATGGTTACTCAGGCTCAGTCAAGGGTGCATGTGATCCAGCCTTCCCAGTGACCATCAGCCCCTAATCTCTGGCTCCCTGATGGCTGGATTATAGACCAGGGGCTTTTGATGTCCTTCTCTCCCAACTGGGGAAGAAGTCTCTTGAGAATAAAGCCAACATCGGGGAAATAGAGCTGTGGGCTGGTGGGAAACAGCCATCCAATGACATGGAGAGAACACCCAGCCCCAGCCTAGGAAGCCCTACTTCTGCCCCCTGGGTCAGGGGTTTAAGGAGTTGTGGATGCATTGTAGTTTCTTGCAACCAAAAGAGTGCTAAGGACAACCCTGTTCACACACGTGCTTTGGAAGAAAAAGGGAAGATGTTTTCCATGCATAATAACTGCAGTGGCTATGCATTCTTATCCTGAACTTAATCTTTTTGTCCTATAGTTCCCAGAAGTGCACTTGTCTACCCAAGTGTTCTGAATTTCATTTCATAACATGCAATCACAGGACACACATTTATATCCAAACTCCATCACATTTGTTCTTGCTCAGAAATATAATTGGGGATGAAGATGGTGACAGTCATCTTCAGAGGTTCTGTTCTGATTAGGTAAGAACAGAGCATTCTAAAGATGGCCTAACCCAGACCACAACTTTGCACAGCAATTTATCCCATTGCTCCTACATTTTTAAATTTATTTTTGGGTAACATTATTAGCTACATTTGATTAGAACTGATATTATAACTGTCTTAGTCTGTTTGGACTGCCATAACGAAACAGCGTAGACTGAGAGGCTTAAACAACAGAGATTTATTTCTCAGTTCTAGAGGCTGCGAAGTCCAAGATCAAGGTGCCAGCCAATTCATTTCTTGGTGAGGGTCCTCTTACTGGCTTGCAGGTTTCTCTCTAGATCTTCACATGGCTTTTCTTAGGTGTTTGCACATGGAGAGAGAGCTCTCTCTCTTCTCCTTATAAGGGCACTAATTCCATCACGAGGATCCCACCCTGATGACTTAATGTTACCATAATTACCTGCCAAAAGCCTCATCTCCAGATATAATTATATTGGAAGTTACAGGTTCAACATACACATTTTAGGGAGGGACACAGACATATAATGATACGAGTTTTCTTTGCAAAAGTGACCATGTGATCATTTGCAATTCTGCTAAAAAGACAGATCCTGGGACTAGTTGCAGATATAATGCACAAAATTTCTGACTGTTTTAATGATTTAATAAGCCAGTTGCTAATAGGTAAACATACATGATACTTACATTGACTGAGGCAATCATGAGTATATTCCCATAATCAGGGGATTCTCATTTAGATGTCATACAGTTTTATTTGCCTCACAAAATTTCAAGTCAATATTCTGCTGTGCTTTCTACTTTGAAAAATGTCATATTACAGCCGGTTGGTTGAGAAATATTTTCAAGGGCCTGTGAAAAGCAAGGTGGGAAAATAATGGATTGTAAATGTGTGGGCCTCTCCACCATGCCCTCTCTGGTCTTGTAGCACTTTAAGGGTGGTGGGTGCCATCTTGGGGTGATACGTTATTTCCAATGTGTCCATTCAGTGTTGTTCAACCATCTTGAGGCCTCAGGCTGGGAGCACACCATCGCACAGTGAAAACGCTCGCCTTTGTTGTAACCCTTTGGGAATTTGTATTGATTGAACAGCATATTTGGGAGAGAGAAAAGCAGATTACACAGTGGTTTGTCATGCTTGATTTACTTGAAAAGTGAGAAAAATGCTGACCTGGGAGACTGGTGACCCTTGAAACTAAATACATGTGTGTGTCAGATACACTGTGAGCTGCACATTGCACTGGGGATTCAACACATCTGGTTGTGAGAATGGCACTCAGGATGACCCAGCTGTGAAGAGGCGGTAAAAAACATAATTGAGCTTGTTTATAAATATTGCTTGCTAACGCAGCTCTTGGCAATACTGGAGATGACATTCTCCCTTAAAGTCTGCCTCCTCTTCATATTTCTTCTTTCTTGTTTTGGCAACTATTGAAATTGAGGTACATGTTCTTAGATTAATGTCAGCCAGCAGTATTCAATATGATTTCTCTTCTCTGAGAAGATACTGTTTTAGGAAAACTGTGGCTTCCGAGCTCATAGCCTAATCTGAATTTCCCTATGTTGAGGAAAAAGACTTAAGGCAAGACCAGTGAAACAAAGAATTACAGATTTGAATGGCAGATTAAGCCTCTTGTAATTTTCATTCTCCAAAATAAAAACATTGCTTATACCATCTATTTTCTATATGTGTTTCTGCTTTTGAAAATATTTCTGTGGTAGATCTCCTGCAATGCCACTGGTGAAAACAAACCACCAACTATTTGGGGGAACTTTTGTTGACATGAGGCCAATTATAATAATTCTGTGAGGGGTGACATGATGGAGAAGACAGACCAAGGACTCTCTAATTGAGCGTGCCTCTGCACCCCAGTTCTGCCACTTCTGGTGTCACATTGACAAGTTGGATAGCAGTGATAAGCTTCAGCTTTTTCAGCTGTAAAATGGTGCAGCAATACTTATCTCAAACAGCTGTTGCGAGGAAGAAATGAAGTGACATGTGGAAAATGCCAAGCACAGTTGCTGCCCAATTAATGCTGTGACCACTCCCGCCTTTCGAAGTAGAGGGACTGACCACCACTGGGCAATGTGTTGTGACCTCATTATTTGTTTTCCTTAATTCCAAATAACAAATTAAAAATCAATTGATAAGAAAAAACTTGAGTTTCAGTATTCACTTTGTGATTTAGATATTGAAAAGGAACATGTGCTTCTTGTCTGTCTTAAGTGAAAGTAAACAAGTGTCATAGTGGCAAGCACAAACCAGGTCAAGGCATGAGGTTGTGACGCCTGATGTGAGCATAGCATGTCAATGGTGGCTTAATACAATATTATCAAAATAACACATCTTTCCCCTTAGTCAATGATTTTAAAGATACTGTTTCATGACAACACGGCTAGATCTTAATAGCTACCATGAAAAAGACCCTACTAACCCATGACTCAACAAAAGTTGAACTCCATTTTTTACCGAGCGATCTCTTGTGTGATTACAACTGAATACCTATATAAGACGCTTTAATCTGCAGTCTGACTCCTCCCTACCCCCTTCTTTGTCACATTTGTTATACCATAATAGTTTGGCCAAAGGCATCCTCATTTTAAGAAGGTAAATAACAGTAATTGACCTGACGAGATCACTGGGATACATTTATATTAGAGAACAATTTTCAAACAGAATGGAGAAAATGCTATATAACAGAAACCTCCCTGAATATTTTCCTCCAGTCTAAGCAGGGAAAATCTCATTATCAGGAAGGGACTCTCTGTGTATATGCTCTCTGCCTCAGTCTCAGATAACTTTGATTTTCCTCTTAAATGTTGTATAAATATTGATGGCACTTATAAATTTCTATGTGGTGGGGAATTATATTTAATACATTTTTCATTACATTTGTTGTTATCTTGCTACCATGGTGAAACGATTTTCTTGAAATTAAGTACCATAAAATATTTGAGAATATGTTGCAGCTGAGCAATTGAGAAAGACAGATGTGATAACATTAAGGAGGGTGAATAAGCACACATGTGCACTGATTTAGAAAACACTCGTTTCTTCAATGAATAAATGCACTTAATGCAAGGCTTTTATTTTTTGTTTAGCTACCGCTTCACTCCCACCAAATGTGGGAGTCACTAAATATTGCTCTTAATGCAATAACCACAACCAGGCAACACTTAAATGACTGTATTCTGAATAAGCTGTATTAAGCCCCAGCCATGACTTTTCCTTTTGTCACTGATTGGTAGTAAATTATTGGAGTGTGGACAAACTAAAGTAGCAAGCTACTTTGGCATTATATGAACACCATCTAATTCACTGCTGGAGAAGAAAGGACAAATGAAGTACCACTTACTCAACACCTACCATGTGCCAGGCATGGCACAAAGCCCTTTGAAACCATGGTCTCCCTCAATCATCCTCAACACAATCCCAGGAACCAGGTATTATTTCCCCATTAAGAGAAAACGGAGGCTCAGAAACATCAAGAAACTCCCCTAAATATCTACAATTTGGACCCTGGTTCATTGGAGCCCAAACTTCATGGCCTTTGCCGAAATTATTATTGAGCCGTCAGTAAAGTTAGATGTAGGATAGAGATTTCATGGTCACAGACTTGCATACCTGGTAAGATGTGGGGACAATTTGTAACTTGAGAGAAAACAATTTTCGTTTAGAAATAGTACCATGATTACATAGCTTTGATGAGTTGTAAATACAGATCTTGATATTAAATTTGATTGCCCCCTCTTAAGGTAGCAAGCTCTTTGGATGTCACCCTAAGAAAGCTGTCATGGCCAGGCTGTTGCAAGCAGCCTTCTGGAAAGGAAAATAAATGTTCATGTGAGAACTAGAGATTGGCCCTTCAATTAAGAAGATTGAATGAATAAATAAGGACAGGCCGCCCTTGACCTCACCTAGATACCCAGGGGAAACTATACTATGGAAGTTGAAGGCACAGTTGAGGATGTGTGGTACTGCCATGCTGAGAGCCACCACCCAGGAAGGTCTACTTCTCAGCTCTAAGGCCTGAGCCCCCAGAGAGGACAGATGGTACGATATTGGGAAAACACACTTAATAAAGATGGATTCGGGGATTTCTATAGGAAGCACCAAGTACGTGGTCACCTTGGTGGAGAAAGTGATTAGAACTGCAATGGTGGGGAGAAAGACTATTGCTAACCAAGCAACAGCAGCTTCAGAGCCCCAGCTGTGATGAAGGCCATGCTGCCTCAAGTGACAGTGGTGGCAGGCCTCATGAGGACAAAGAGCATGATTGGACCTAGTTCAGCAGTGCAGGAGAAGCAAGGATACCGAGGGACAATCACTGATGATTGCAGCAAGAAGGTCTCAAGGGCACCAGAGAGAGAGAGAGAGAGATGATACCATGTTGGCCTTCACAGGGAACATGCCAGCTTGGGGAAAGAGAGAGGATTAACAGGGTTTGGTTACCTTCTTTGGGCTAGGTTTTTCCAATCTTATTTTATAACTTCACAATGGATTATTATTATTCCCTTTACTGGAGGGGAAATCAAGACAAGGAGAATTAGTCTAGTCTACTAGGTCTCACCAAGGTCCCATATCTGACCCTTCAGATTGTCACCCACAAGAATCCTGAGATTTCATGGAGATTCACTTTTTTCTGGCTTTTATCATTTTGATGTATAAAAATATGAAAAGAAAGATTAATTGGCAATTATAGAGATGTGAGTGATAATAATACATTAATATTTATTGAGTTCTTCCTGTATGCCAGGCATTGTTCTAAGTAGCTTATGTCTATGACATTATTTAACACCTACAATAATGTTGCAAGATGAGGATGGCCATTATTCCCATCTTTCAGATGGATGGGGGAGTCACTAATTATTGAAGTCCAGAGTGGATCAGAGTAGTGAATTTGCTTGCCCAATGTCATGCAGCTGGTACATGGGGTGCCAGCCTAAGTATTGAGGCAGTATAAATCTTAAAAGTAACACTGTACTGCTCTTATCATCTCCCCATGTCCATGCATGTGGATCTTTGGGAAGGAGCCACGTACACAGGAACCAGGGTTGGAAATGGCTCTAACTATATCTTCCTGTTCTTGGGAGGGGTTATCTTAAGTGAGTAAGTAAGCCCTAGTAGCTCTCAAGGAGGATCTCCTACTAAAAGCTTTTTCTTTCAAGTTTCACCTTTGCTATGTCATAGCCTGGAGGTTTGCCTCTCTCTCCTCTCTCCCATTTAAGTTCAAAGAGCTTCTTGGGGTTGGCATCCTGTTGACAGGCTCAGTTACCACAGGGTCATCTGTTTGGAAAATCATAGCCCATGGAAGATGTCCCTGCCTGAACCAGGAGAGGGAGAATAAGGCAATAGGCAGATGGTGTCAGTCCATTTTGTGTTCCTAGAATACCTGAGGCTGGGCACAGTGGCTCATGCCTGTAATCCCAGCACTTTGGGAGGCTGAGGCAGGTGGATCACCTGAGGACAGTAGTTTGGGACTAGCCCGGCCAACATGGCGAAACCTTGTCTCTACTAAAAAATACAAAAATTAGCTGGGTGCAGTGGCAGGTGCCTGTAGTGACAGCTACTCAGGAGGCTGAGGCAGAGAATTGCTTGAACCTGGGAGGCAGAGGTTGCAGTGACCCGAGATTGCACCACGCCATTGCACTCCAGCCTGGGAGACAGAGCAAGACTCCATCTCAAAAAAAAAAAAAAAAAAAAAGGAATACGTGAAGCTGGGTAATTTATAAAGAAAAGAGGTTTATTTGGCTCATGGTTCTGCAGGCTACACAAGCAAGGTGCCAGGATCTGCTTGCCCTCTGGTGAGGCCTCAGGAAGCTTTTACTCATGGCAGAAGGTGAAGGGGGAGCAGCTGTTACATGGCAAGAGAGGGAGAACGAGGGAAAGAGGAGGAAATACTATGACCTTTTAAACAGCCAGCTCTTGTGGGAACTCATAGAGTGAGAACTCACTCATTACAGCAAGGACACCACCAAGACATTCAGGAGGATCAGCCTCTATGACTCAAACACCTCCCGCCAGGCCCACCTCCAACATTGGAGGTCAGATTTCAACATGAGATTTGGAGGGTACAAACATCCAAGCCATATCACAGACTTAGCAAGCAAGGCCAGTGGATCCAAATAGGGGGCCCTCCATAACCCAAGGTTGTGGTACAGGAAGCCAGAGAAGAAAATACAAAAGCCATGCCCTTGGATGGATGCCAAGATTAAAACAGAAAAGCACGCAAAACAGAATCTTAACTTATCAGCAGAAAGAGAGTTTGAGGGTAGAAGTGGGGGCAGATGAACAGTGGGAGCCAAAGGACAGAGTTAAAATGGGGCAGTTACTAAGACAGGCAGCCCAGGGGAAGGGTGGGCAGGGCATAACAGGGGGAGTAGACGTTGACGGGTGCAGTAGGTACAACTCTGGGGTAGGAAGGAACTTACTGTGGGTTCCCAGCAAGGGTCTGTGAGTAATCTTGGGTCAGCCACAGGGGCTCATTTAGAATGAGCAGCCCAGATCCCAAGGCCTCTTCTGGAGCTGCTCATGGGCATCCACTGCATGTTAGGCCCTGAGCCTATAGTCCATATCCTGTATCCTCACTGTCCTTGGAGGTGGGTTCTCTGGTCCCAATTCTGCAGGAAAGGAACTGAGGCTCAGAGAGTCCACATGAGATACCCAGATTCACTCAACCAGTCATCACGCTGGCATTCACCATGTCCTGGCAGCATTCAATCACTCTTGGGAAAGACGTTGGCCCTTTTTACACTCTGGTAATAAAATATTGACCTAAACATTGTATTCCTTAGAAATCCAGCTGTATTAATCCTAAAAAATAACTCTTACATATCTAATTTGATGTTTCCCAAAATATCTTATTAATGAGAATCCATTTCTGGGCCTCAAACCAGATCCACTACCTCAAAGTCTCTAGGGAGGGAGAGTCCTAGAAACATGAAAATGGAACTCTTCAATTGTATAGTTTCAACCATATGAAATTGCCAGTACATGGCTATTTATGATCTATGAAAACAACAATTTTACATGGTCTAATCTAACTTATACTTCAAATCGTAAATGATTCTTATCATCAGAGAAATTTGAGAAAACCTTTTAAATGCTTTGACATGTTCCTCAAAGCTGATATCCACCGTGCTTCAGTATTACAAAAGAGCAAGTATTACAAATAACCTGAAGTCTCACTCCTAATTATCTCCTGTCTAATTCAGTTATAAAAATCAATCCGTGGACGGGCACAGTGGCTCACGCCTGTAATCCCAGCACTTTGGGAGGCCGAGGCGGGTGGATCACCTGAGGTCAGGAGATTGAGACCAACCTGGCCAACATGGTACAACCCCGTCTCTACTAAAAACACAAAAATTAGCTGGGCATGGTGGCAGGCGCCTGTAATCCCAGCTATTTGGGAGGCTGAGGCAGGACAATCGCTTGAACCTGGGAGGTGGAGGTTGCAGTGAGCTGAGATCACGCCACTGCACTCCAGCCTGCGCGACAGAGACTTTGTCTCAAAAAAACAAACAAAAAATCAATCCATTAGTGCATTAAAAAAATAGGTATTGAAGACCTACTGTGTATCAAACACTAGACTAAACCAAGGGTACAACAATGGTTTTAGATATAATTCCTGAGCTCAAGATGTTGTGAACTCAGAGCGATTAAGCCATGATTACACAATACACCAAGTGGTGTAGAGCACAGAGGAAAGAATAATGTGTATGTTTGAAAATGCACTCCCAGAAGTGTCATATTCTTCTTCAACCAAGAGATGACCAGTTTTGAAGGTTTTACTTGCACGGTTTTTTTTTTTTTTTTTTTTTTTTTTTTTTTAAGATTGGGATATTGCAAGGATGAACCACTGCCAAGGTAAAGCAGGCTATAAGAGAGAGGCTTCCAGTATACAGTTTAGAAAACCATAAGTGTCATGGACCCCTGGATGTTCAGCTATTTCCTCTCTCTGCTGTCTTCTTCTCACTGCTAGAGAAACGTGGGCAATAACATGACTGATTTACTAGTATTAGTCAGCACTTTTTATGCATCTGGAAATCTTGGACTTAAGAACACCTGATACTAGTGTGAGACCCTAAAACACAAGGTTATTGTCTGGGAGGAATTGTGCAGGTGTCTAAAGAGTTAAAAGAGGCTGAGATTGAAATTCCATTCTCTTTCATAATTTCTGGATTTCTTTTTAAAATGGTTAAGAAGCAGGGAGTTTGCCCTAGTATCAGTGTTCAGGAAGAGATTAGTTTGCAAAGTCAGTGGAACTTCCCATTCACCTTTCTCCCCTTGCAAGGTTCCTAAGGTCTTGCCCAGCTTAAGATTTTCAGCATGATGAAAATCCATTCCACTGGATGCGCAGGTAATGCAACCTCTTTTTACAACAACAGCCTTCTTTCTTTGAGGCATTTCAGTCTGGCCATTCAGGTGCATAAAGTATGCAGAAGCAGGTGGGTAGGATTTCAAGCTTCAGTGGCTGCTTGGCTCTAATCCCTCGAGGTAGATATTTAATTAAGCTGAGAAAGTCAGTGTACCATCCATCAGGCAGCATGTTCTAGCATAGACCACTTACTATCTGGGACATCGTGTATCAAAAGTATAAAATGAGTTTTAATATGAAGTGAAATGACATAAATGGAAAAGTGGACCAACTGCTGACTCAGCAACTTCTTCCAATGACAAAAAAGCTACTTTTAAAAATTTGCTCAAAAAGAACAAGTGGCTCCCACTATAGATATCAAGCACTGTAATGGAATTACAGTCCCTGACTGACCCTACTGTTGCAATGCCATACACCAGCAAAGTTTGCTAGTCAGAGCAGGTATGTGCCCTGGAGACATGGCCAGCTCAGAAGAAGCCTCACAAAACCTTGGCATGCTGTATCTGAGTTGACTTGCATTGTGGTGCTTGTTGAATAATGATCAGAATCTGACTCATGCAAGAAAGAAAGGGTGCATTTTGAATGATTCTGATTTGTAAGTTCTGGGAGGTGATAATAGAATAACAGCTTTATTGAGCATTCTGCAGAACACGCTGGAAATGCAAAGATCATGTGGAACAGGGGCCTGGTCCTCACGAGTGTTTACAGTCTAATGACAGAGAAAAGCCTGAGTCCCATCAAGGATGTTTTAAGGGAAAAGGCAATTGGTGAAAGATGTGTGTGTGTTTTAGACCTCAATGGCAACAGAGTTCAGGAAGGGGAGCAATGACTTAAGGCTACGGAAATCTGTAAGGACTTGGGAATGAGGTACAAATTGAATTAGGAAGAAAAGAGGAGAGGGCACAGTAAAGGCAGGCAAGAAAGGAGAGGTATGGGCCGGGCGCAGTGGCTCACGTCTGTAATCCCAGCACTTTGGAAGGCCGAGGCGGGAGGATCACCTGAGGTTGGGAGTTCAAGACCAGCCTGGCTAACATGGTGAAACCCTGCCTCTACTAAAAATACAAAAATTAGCTGGGCATGGTGATGCGTGCTTGTAGTCCCAGCTACTCAGGAGACTGAGGCAGGAGAATGGCTTGAACCCAGGAGGCGGTGGTTGCAGTGAGCCGAGATCATGCCACTGCATTCCAGCCTGGGTGACAGAATAGGACTCCTTCTCAAAAAAAAAAGAAAGTAGAAGTGTGATGGGGCAGGGTGGGACAGAATTTGCTGGAATAAAAAATTACTTCTGGAAAGTTGTAGAAGACAGGACTGGAAGGGTTCACCAGGAACAGTTTGTGAGTGTCTACAAATGGAAGGCTATGGAATTTAAGCTCTAAACTCTCTGCAATGGGCAGCCATCGGATTTTACAGCAGGGTGTTAAAAAATGGATTTGCAGCTGTGTGCAGGACAGGCTGAGGGCACAGGACAAATTATTCATCTCACAGGCATCATTGAGAGCTTAGAGTGCTAGATGCTTGGATTGCAAATATGAACCACACCAGGTCTCTCTCTAGAAGACCTCACAGAACAATAAGGGAAATGCATAATGCATGTGGACACAGTTTCAACACCTTTGCATGGGCTTGAAGAGTGAACCAGGAGAAGCTAGTAAGAGACCACTGTAGGCCAGGTGATATGAAATTTGGATTTGAACTAAGCTGGGGAAACAGGAGGAGTACTCACAGCAGTGACTCATAGTCAGAGGTGACATTTCAGAAGGTCGGGAGGGAGAGGTCAGGACTGAAGAGAGTTTGGAAGGTCACCTGGGGAGAGGTGAACAAAGTGTGAGGGGCAGAGAGGCAAAGGGCTGCTGCAGGGGCCCAAGGTAGGAGGTGGAGAGATGGGCATGAAGGAGCGGGGAGGAGGAGCGGGGAGGAGGAGCGGGGAGGTTCAAGCACAGGGATCATGGGGAGAACTCAGGAGCTGGGACTGGTCAGAGCTGACAGCCATGCCCTTCTGTTCTGGGGCACCTGCCACCCCTGTGCTCCTCCCAGGAGCTGGGCTGTCTCAGCGGGAGGGAGAGAAGTACTCACTTTCATTAGTTTCTTTGCCACATTAAAAGAACACTGGCGGCTGGGCGCGGTGGCTCACGCCTGTAATCCCAGCAGTTTGGGAGGCCGAGGTGGGCGGATCACGAGGTCAAGAGTTCGAGACCAGCCTGGCCAACATGGTGAAACCCTGTCTCTACTAAAAATACAAAAATTAGCTGGGTGTGGTGGCACATGCCTGTAATCCCATTTACTCAGGAGGCTGAAGCAGGAGAATCATTTGAACCCGAGAGGCGGAGGTTGCAGTGAGCCGACATCGTGCCATTGCACTCCAGCCTGTGTGACAGAGCGAGACTCCAACTCAAACAAAACAAAACAAAACAAAACAAGAACACTGGCTGGGTGCAGAGAGGGTCACTGCTGTCCAACAGAGCAGCCCTACACTTTCCTTATCCTCAGAACCTACCTGTTTGCCTTTATATCCTGTGACTTTTTAGCACTCAAATTAACGGCTGCATCCTCTGAACTCTCTGAGCATGCCCAGCCTCAGCCCTGCCTCCCACCCCAGCCCTCTCCCACCTCCCACCACATCCCTTCCACTCCCCACTGTGCACACACCCCCCTCCTCCCCCATCCACACCTACCTCCTAACCCCACCTCCCCTAACTCTCACTGGCAGCCTCCCATCCCATAGAAATTCTATGCCTGTTTTTTTTCACTTTACTTTTGAATGCAGCATGCGGCACAAAAAAGTGCCCTCGAATTTGAAATATGACGATCCAGGTTTAGATCCTGATATAGCCTCTTATGGCCAAGATCTCTTTGAGTCTTGTTTTTCTTACCTGAAGAAATGGAGATAATATTTATGAAGATAAAATGAAAAAATGTTGTACAGATGCCTGTTACCATATATTGCTTGAGCCATCCTAGGTGCTTGCTCAGAATTAATGACCTTTCTTGTTGCTTTTCCTGCTAGAGTCTCGAAGTGCACATACAAAAGACATTCCACACTTATTGAATTAATCCTCCCTCCTGCCTCTATTAGAAATTAAACGTTTTAAGGGCAGGGTCCTTTCTGGGTCTGGCATGTAGAGTCTTGTGCATGCTGTCTACTAGTTAAATATTTGTTAAATAAATGAGCCATGTGGTCAGGAAAGCGAGGAAACTCCTACATGACAGCTGTGATTTCACACTGTGGGTGTCTGGAGAAGAACGGAGTTTGACAACCCGCTGTCTCTTCCCTAGAATGGGTGGTAGACCTCAATTCTCTCCATTGTCTCCCAAGAAGTCTCTGCTTAAAGTTTAAGGAACTGTTGACATGGCCTCAGCAGCACAGGACCAAGACATCATTCACAGGCACATATGCCACTCCTTTGGAACCTGTCAAGTGTGTGCCCGAAAAATTATCTGTATATTTTGCATGGTGACAAAAGCAACACATTCTAATCTCCTACAGTGAATTAAATTCCACCAGCAAAACAAATGCCTTATGACAGGTGATTGATAGGTGTTTTCTCTGACAGCCTCTGGCACAGAAATCTGCCCTCAATCGAGTCTGGAAAGATAGCTGGAAGAAGAGTTGAAGTAGTCAGCCAGTTCTCTCCCCACACTGCACTGTGCAATGTCTAAGCACGCAGCAATATAAATGACATACCATTCAATTGATCTTTTGCTTATCTATAAATGCAGAATGAGCTGTGTGGACCCTGATCCACAAAGGAACCATTTTAGGAAAATTTATTTCCTTTCACTACCCATAAAAATAAATTGCTCCTCACAAAGGAGAGACAAAAAAATACTTTCTTCCCCTAATAAGATTATTATGAAAGGGATATTTTCTCTGAACTATTGTTACTGAGTTGCGTGCTGTCAATTTTTTATAACGGTGTTACCATTCTCAGCTTGGCTGGAGCTCCAGAGACATGGCAGGCAAGGGCCTGGCCTTTCCTGTTGTTTTATTTGGGTGATACTGTGACAGGGTCAAATGTTTTTAATGCGGGTGGGCTCAACTTACCACTGGCCCCCAATGTTCTCCTCTATTCCAGGCAAAAGATGACAGGAATTGTAGCCCAATGCTTGGGCATAAATAATGTACTTATACACACAGGCATATACACACACTCACACTGGATGGCAATCCATGCATTGCTGGCTTTCAAAGGGGTGAAGTTCCACCATTGTGCTAAGAAAAGCTGTGTCCCTTCCAGCTTCGATATTTTTCAGTGACTTTTACTTTAGTCTCTGTGACACTTAGCTCAGTGGGAGACTGGTCAGAGGAGCTGTGCTAAACGCTCTTCCATGCCCCTTTGTAGCCAACAGTGAAATTAACTACAATGTATTCAGTATCTGCTTTGGGCCAGGAAGGCAGCTAGTTGCTTTACAGAAAACTCCATCTTTAAGCTTCGCCCCAGGTTGCTGTCTCTTTTGAAGCAATTGAGGTTTGGACAAGTGAGCCAGCTGGGCTAGGATCCCATTGCTAAAGAAGAGCCGAGGTGGAAGAGTGTGTCTTCTCCAGCTTAGGGGGAACAGAACACACTGGTGAGGAGCCATAGGAGGAGGGAGACCTGCAAGAGGGAGGGCAGGCTGTGTGAGGTGTTTTAGGTACCGAAGCCAAACGGGAACCGGATTTTCTGGGTGAAGTGGGGCAATCTTGTCAGACAGTACTTTAAGTACACTTGAGTCTCCAGAAGTTAAATTGAGTGATTCTCAGCAATAGGCTGTCATGAGCAGAACTGTAGAATTACCATTAATAGACATTTATGCAGCCAAAAGACACATGAAAAAATGCTCATCATCACTGGTCATCAGAGAAATGCAAATCAAAACCACCATGAGATACAGTTAGAATGGCAATCATTAAAAAGTCAGGAAACAACAGGTGCTGGAGAGGATGTGGAGAAATAGGAACACTTTTACACTGTTGGTGGGACTGTAAACTAGTTCAACCATTGTCGAAGTCAGTGTGGCGATTCCTCAGGTATCTAGAACTAGAAATGCCATTTGACCCAGCAATCCCATTACTGGGTATATACCTAAAGGATTATAAATCCTGCTGCTATAAAGACACATGGACACGTATGTTTATTGCGGCACTATTCAGAATAGCAAAGACTTGGAACCAACCCAAATGTCCTACAATGATAGATTGGATTAAGAAAATGTGGCACATATACACCATGGAATACTATGCAGCCATAAAAAAGGATGAGTTCATGTCCTTTGTAGGGACATGGATGAAGCTGGAAACCATCATTCTCAGCAAACTATCACAAGGACAAAAAACCAAACACCGCATGTTCTCACTCATAGGTGGGAATTGAACAATGAGAACACTTGGACACAGGAAGGGGAACATCACACACCAGGGCCTGTTGTGGGGTTGGGGGAGGCAGGAGGGGTAGCATTAGGAGATATACCTAATGTTAAATGACGAGTTGATGGGTGCAGCATACCAACATGGCACATGTATACATATGTAACAAACCTGTACATTGTGCACATGTACCCTAAAACTTGAAGTATAATAAAAAAATTAAATTAAAAAAATTACCATTAATATAAGCTAAGAAAGTTAAGGAACAAAATCTATCCTAAAAATGGGTTTTTAAAAATAACTTGTATTATTTTGTTTTACTATTTTTCAATTTTTATTAATTGCCTGGTGACCACAGTTAATAATAATGTATTGTATATTTCAAAATTTGTAAAAGTCAATTTCTAATGGTTTACTCATTTTTGACTGCATATATATGTGTATACTTAAGAATTTAAAAATGCTTCTAAGCAAGAAGAAGCATATAAAAATTACCCACAATTTTAACCATGTGGAGGTGAATAATCTATATTTTAAGTTACATCCGTATAGTTTTGAATAGCTGTGTTTTGACTACACAAAATGTATTTTTTGAAAATCTAGTAAAGTCTTTTTATAACCTGAGTATTTTGGTAAAGTATAATTTCTTCAACTATTATTGGCATATAATTGGTAAGAATATTCTTTCCTGGTATTTTACAAATATCCCTTATAGTTATATCCCTGTTTTTGTCTTCATATTGTGTGTGTATGTGTGTATGTGTGTGTGTGTATGTGTATGCGCATTTACATACCTCTCTTAGATCTTGTTATTCTTAGTTGTGTACACAAGGAACCCTGGTTTCCTATTTAAAGACCTCATTTGAAAACAGAAGGGTAATCTTTGCTACTTAGTTGGTCTCGATTTTCTATGATTTATCAGTTAGCTGAGCTAGGAAATGTTTCTAAGATAAAATATTTCATAAGTTCATACTGATGCTTCAATTCAAATTCAGAACCACAGATGCTTTTCTTAACTTCCTCAATAGACCGAGGTTCACCCACACTGAACATCCCCTCTATCGAAGAAACCACTATCGTTTCTCATCTCTTTTATCCAAAGAAGTGCACTCAACAGCCTCAAAATTACAACATAAATACTACCAGTGGCAGTGTTTTCTGAAAACAGGTTAAATTTTTTTTCCTGGTTCCTAGGGCATATCTCACTAGGAACGAATAGTCAATCAAATTTCTTTCTGGGCCAGGCACAGTGGCTCACCCGTGTAATCCTAGCACTTTAGGAGGCTGAGACGGGAGGATCACCTGAGGTTAGGAGTTTGAGACCAGCCTGGCCAACATGGTGAAACCCCATCTCTACTAAAAATACAAAAAAAATTAGCTGGGTGTGGTGGCAGGCACCTGTAATCCCATCTACTTGGGAGGCTGAGGCAGGAGAATCACTTGAACCCGGGAGCCAGAGGTTGCAGTGAGCCAAGATTGTGCCACTGCACTCCAGCCTGGGCAACAGAGTGAGACTCCATCTCAAAAAAAAAAAAAAAAAATTCTTTCTGAGCAGTTGTACTACCAAATTGATACCCAATTTTGCTTCCCATTTTCATAATTATATAAAATATTAAATGATTCTAAAATCAAATTTACAAAACAAGGTACAGAGACATCTGGCTTTTTTCCCTGTTTCCTTCACTTGTTTCTCTACCTTTCAAGGTAGTAATTTATTAATTTTTTATCCTTTCATTATTTTGAGTATAAAAATGTTTATGTTAATGTAAGAAAATATTTGTATTTTAGGTTTACTATAGAAAAACATAATTTATGAACTATGTTAATATAAGAAAATATGTCTATGTGTGTATTTTTATTATTTCCTTTCTTAGATGGATAGTTTTATACTATAATGTTTTCCTTCACCTTGTTTTTCCATTTAACAATATGTTTCAGAGGTTATTTCCTACAAGGGCCTACAAGCAGTCCTCATTCCTTTTCCTGATGGCATAGTAGTCCATTTGCAATTGTGGCATGGTTTTATTGCTCCCCATTAATGAACATTGGAGAAAATTCCAGTCTTTTGTTATAAATATGCTGCACCAAATACCTGTGTGCAAGTTTCATATATTTTTGGCAATGGATTTTTGGATATAGTCCCAGAATGGTGATGGGTAGGTCAAACTATACATGTCTATAAAATCTTGCTATCACAATTTTGCTAGACATGACCCAATTTCTGCCCATGGTGGTTGTACTATTTTGCATCTCCCTCAGGAATATTTGAGAGTTCCTGTTTCCCCACAGATGTGCCACAAAGCTTATTGCCAAACTTCTAAATTTTTGATGATTCCACCTATTTGGTGAGAAATGGTATCTCAACAACTTTTTTTTTTTTTTTTTTTTGAGACAGAGTCTTGCTTTGTCACCCAGGCTAGAGTACAGTGGCACAATCTTGGCTCACTGCAGCCTCCGACTCCCGGGTTCCAGCGATTCTCCTGCTTCAGCCTCCCGAGTAGCCAAGATTACAGGCATGCATCACCACGCTCAGTTAATTTCTGTGTTTTTATTAGAGACGAGGTTTCACCATATTGGCCAGGCTGGTCTTGAGCTCCTGACCTCATGTGATCCGCCCGTCTCATCCTCCCAAAGTGCTGGGATTACAGGCGTGAGCCACCGTGCCCGGCTGTCAACAACATATTATCTTTCTTTTCTAATGAGTGACATTGAACATCTTTTCATAGAATTAAGAGCTCCATTATATGTATTTTTTCCTCAGTGATTCATCTCTTCAAAGCTCCTCCCCATTGTTCTTTATTGTCAAAATGTGTTATTTGATACAGTTCTTGTGCATAGGTAGCATGTCTGCCCGTAGGCAGAGGTGGGTGGAGGAGACAATGAGTGTTTCAGGTAGAGGACTGCCATAATCATCAGTGTGAAAGCAGGGCAGCCTAAGATGTGGTTGGAAAGCATCTCCACTGGACGGTCATGGAGGGCTTTCCACATTCCTCAGCTGAGCATACAGGGTCCCCACATAATCTGCCCTCTGCAATCCCTTCAATCTGAAGTTCTCTATAAACTTCATTGCCTTATACTCCAGTGTCATCTATGTAGTTGCTGTTAAAAATACAGGTGCTAGAAAAATTCTATAATGTGAGTGAGCAGTGGCTACACGTTAATATTTTCCGAAACACATTGAATAGTACATTTAAAATGTGTGCATTGTATTGTGTGTAAATTATACTATATATATATATAGTGTGTGTGTATATATATATATATATGGCATGAGCTCAGTTCACTGCAACCTCTGCCCCTGGGTTCCAGCGATTCTCCTGCCTCAGCCTGCCAAGTAGCTGGGATTACAGGCGCCCACCACCATGCCCAGCTAATGTTTCGTAATTTTAGTAGAGATGGGGTTTCACCATGTTGGCCAGGTTGGTCTCAAACTCCTGATCTCGTGATTTGCCTGCCTTGGCCTCCCAAAGTCCTAGGATTACAGGCATGAGCCACCGTGCCCGGCCATAACTATGTATATTTGTACATAGTCATGACCATAAACTAGTCATGTTCAAGCCCTATCCTAGGTCTACTGTGTCAATTTCTGGGTGTGTATACTGAAAATCTACATTACTAAGCAAGACACACAGGAGACACATTTGCACATTAAAATTTGAGACCACGAACTACTTGTATTTCTTCAAACTCTCAAGCTGGGTGTGTTTCTATGCCTGCTGATTCTGCTGTTTGCTAGAATGTCTTTGAATACCTCAGGAATGCCTATGCATCTTCAAGATGTTGTTCTGGTATCACATCCTCTGCTTTTTCCTTCTTCTGGTTTAATTTAATGTGAACTCTACCCTCCTTTGTTCTCTACTGTGAGTATAAAATTATGATACTTCCATTAAAATATAAATACAGACATATACTATATGTATATTTAGAAAGTATATATAATGCTTGCTCTTACACATTTATTTCTGTATTTCCCTTTACCAAACCAAAGAACATTTTCAGAACAGAGATTGTGTCTGATTTGCCATATTTTCAAGGTCTTGTTGAAACCAAAACACACAGTAGGTGTCTGATGAATCGTTCCTAAATGAATGGCCTTGGTGAAGGACTAGTGGGGGAGGAGGCTGGATATATAGATTAGGAGTATATTTTGGAAGGTCATAAATATTAAACTAAAAAGCTGATTTTTAATTTATTGGTTATCATGTAAAGAATGCTTATTATGTATTAGGAACTGTGCTAAGCACAGTGTGACTTTTATTGCATTAAATCCTATGTGGTGGGTGGTTTTTATTTTAAAGATGCCAATCTGACACTTAAAGAGGTCAAGCCACTTGTCCAAAGTCATTGTGCTTCCAATCAAACCCTGGTCTGACTGACCTCGGAGAATGCATTTTTTTTTTTTTTTTTTTTTTTTTTTTTTGAGACGGAGTCTCCCTCTGTCGCCCAAGGCTGGAGTGTAGTGGCGCGATCTCGGCTCACTGCAAGCCCCGCCTCCCGGGTTCATGCCATTCTCCTGCTTCAGCCTCCCGAGTAGGTGGGACTACAGGCGCCCGCCACCGTGCCTGGCTAATTTTTTTGTACTTTTTTTTAGTAGAGACGGGGTTTCACCATGTTAGCCAGGATGGTCTCGATCTCCTGACCTCGTGATCTGCCCGCCTCGGCCTCCCAAAGTGCTGGGATTACAGGCGTGAGCCACGGCGACCGGCCGAGAATGCATTCTTTAATAATGTTAGTGCCTCTCAGGTTGTTAAAGTTTAAGAAGACTGAATATTTTTCTCACAGAAATAGAGATGTTTGGGATTTCTAAGATGGTACCCAATAAATAAAAGAGAACCCACCTTCACGTCCAAGTTCAATACAAATTGAAAAAAACAAAACCAAGAAGGCATATTGGAGATTTAGACAAATCACCTTTCTTCCTAATAACAATTGCATTGGAGAATACAGTTTTGTGTGAGAGACAGGTGAGTGGGCTGGGAAGGACCAGCATCAGTTGGACTTAGCCTGGTCTCCACAGTGCTGGACCAGCACAGGCATCCCCTGCAGAGGTGGAACACACCTCAAAGGCTGCCTGGAGAGTAGCTTGCTTCCACAGGAGAGGAAATCGGGACTGAGCCATGTAAGCCTGCTGAGTCTTCCCAAAGGTACCAATCAAGAAAGTCACTCTATGTACCTGCAAAGGTGTAGTAAAGGGGTGGAGATAGCTTAAGTGTTTGGAGGGTCCCTTTCTTCCTGAGATCCAGAGAAACAGGAGAAATGATCAAGCTCTCCCCTGGGGATCAAGCAATGATGATGGTGCCTCCTGAGCCAGGGGGCAGCTGGCGGGTATTGGAGTATTGCAAAGTTATGTCTGCCAGACTTGGCAGCCAAGTAGGCATTGGGGGAAGGAAGAACATAGGAACCACTCATGACTTGCAAGCAAGGGTCTGTGTGACAGCAATGTGGGCTACCATGTTAAGCCCAATCGCAAGGAGAAACATATTCTGAGGAAGAAATGATGGGTTTCATTTTTTAAATTAGCCTTGGAAAGGCTTGGAAAGAAGCATTGTCTAGTCATTTTAAAAGATGCTCTTTTAGGACTTAGAGAGTTTATAAATGGACACATGAAACATTAGCAACCTTGAATAAAGGGTTCATCAACTTCAGATTATGCAAAAATAAGCATAGACCTATGACCAAAGCAACATGCTACATTTTAAGATGAATATTTATAGAAGGCATGTATCACTTACTCTTTGCTTAGAGTGTGTGAAATCTTACTGGAAAGTGAAAGGAAGTCTTCCTTTTCAACATTTTCCTCCTGTCCCTGGACTTACCATTACCTGTGTTAATACCCTTTCCTTCTGTTTTCATAGCTTCAATCCTCTTTGCTTTCTGGATCAACATACCAAAAGTTTTCAAACTTTAATTGCATCTAGGTAGTATGTATTTGAGTTTTTTATTGCAAACATTTGAGATTAAGACTATGTAAATCGAGTTAACCAATTATAAATTTTAAGTCTTAAAAATTTTAGGCCTTGTTTTAATATTCTCTTTAAATATTAAATGTATATTTAAACACCTTGACCTTTTTTGTTAGCACTATTGATTCTTGAGTGTGCATTTAATGAGAGGGGGCAAGTCACAATTCCCATTCACCGGAAGGAGATAGTATGCAAACTGAAGGCACTGGCTTTGGGATTGGAAAGGCCTACGTCTTAGAAAAGGGTATTTTTGAAATGGTAAAATGGAGCTGTAATATTCAGGTGAAATAATTCATGCAAAAATATATGGCGTTTATCCCCTAATGATTTAAATGTTAATACTATTTTATTGAAGATGGCATTTCTTAAATATGATTTTTTTCCTTTAGTTTCTTCAAAGTATAAAGGTAATTGTGCTACAAAAACTCACCCCAAAAAATATGAAGTCAAGCAGGCTCATACATGAGGTGTTAATTTGTTGTTGCATGTTTGCTCTGATTAGACTTACTTTAAGGGCTGTAAAGTCACACCGAAGCATATGTAGGTTGGCCCAGTCACCTTGGAGATTAGGACTTCTCCAAAGTTGGCTTTTTTTCCCCAAGAGTAAGATATTTTCCTGCTATATTTCAAGGATTTAATGCCACTTCTACTTGGACGGTGCCTGCCCTGACCACCCAAGGCTAGGTTCAGACTACTTTTTCTGCTTTCATTAATCAGTCTACATGCTCTTTTAATGTCCTGGTTTTCTAATCAGTCTCCCTGGACCTAGGAGAAGGTCTGAGTCTAAATTATTCACTGCTGTTTCCCAGTGTCTGGCAGAGATCCTGGCACTTAACAGAAACCCAGAACTTTTGGATGAATGATGATAGGTAGCTTCAAGTTTTCTATTTGAAAACAAATAGTATTTTCCACATAAATTCTGGGAGCACTGTAATAACATCCTATCATAAAGATAATTCATAAAGCATTTTAGTATGAATTAGCAGTTTAATCATTAAATAATTAAGTATTTAATCACTAATCAATGTTTATAATACATTTACAAGATGTGTTTTTTCAATTTTTATTCTCTTTAATATACAGAACCATGGTTTGATGCAGTGCTTGTTATTTAGTCCACCATTTTGCAGATGAGTGCTTCCTAGATGCAATATCTCATGCTAAGTTTTGTTATAAGAGTTTGATATTCTCTTAGCCAACATGCATGCAATAAAGTCTAATATAAGGCAGTTGTGCGGAGAATATTAAGGATCTCAGACTTACATCTTTGAGCCTAGTTAAAGGAAAGATTAATTTAGATTACAGGGTGGAAGAAAGACTGCATGTATTCTGTTGGATTATCATCTAAGTGACTGCACTGGGTTAGATACTGAGGCACAAAGATGAATAAGACAGACACGGTCGGCTCCTGCAGTGATCACTTCCCAGAGGGTAATGGAAATATGCAAACAAAGGCATGCTGTGTCCCAGGTGAGATACGAAGTAGAGTTGGAAGCTCAGTCCACTCATCAAGAACAGGCTAAGGAAGTCCTGGAGGAGAGTGGGATAGATAGCCACTCGTTTCCCATCACATGGACTGTGAGGAGGGGCAAATTCCCTGGAGGAAACACAGACATCTCTAGCAAGGGACCTATTCTAAGAACATCCAGAATGTCAGCAGGCCTGGAGGGTAGAATGGCTGGACAAGTGGCAGGGAGGGCCCCTGGAGGAAGAGGCAGGGCCAGATCATGGGGACTAAGGTAAGGGACCAGAGAATGGATGAGTGCACTCAGACTTGGGGGGAAGGTTACAATTTTCCTCAAGGGTGAGGTGCCTTGGCACATGAGGTGTGCAGTTGGGGGTATTAGTCTGGAGCTCCTGAGAAGCACAAGCTTCATAGGAGTATTGTGGCAGGAGGAATCAAGACTTTCCAGACCGACTGTATCAAAACAGGGTAAGGAGTGGCGGAGGAGCTACGGTGTAGATGACCCGGGTACATGATCTGCCAGGTGCTGAGAGTCAACTCTGGAAACACCTAAGGGCTCCATCCTGAGCATCTTGGATGTCTGACTTAGCAGCTTACTTTGGAGAGTGGAGGCCCTCATGTTAGTCAATACAATTTAAGAAATCTCACTTGGTTTATTTTATAGAACACATAAGAGCAAACAATATGTCTAGTGCTTTCCAAATCAATGTCAAGTAAAGATAAGGGAGCAAATGGTGTGTGCATGTGTGTGTGTGTGTGTGTGTGTTTGTGTGCTATTCAAGAGACTTTCTAACCCCTGTGAATAGGAAGCGGGAATGAACACTGTCTTTAAACCCATGAAGCATCTAACATATCATTACTCACTATATTAACCATGCTGCATGTTACCTTTTTAGAATTTATTCATTGTTTAACTGAAAGCCTGTGCCCAACAACATCCCTTTTCCCCTGCCCCTAAGTACCTGCCAATTATCATTCTACGCTCTTTCTCTAAGTTAAACGTTTTTAGGTTCCACAGATTCATGAGATCATGCAATATGTGTCTTTCTGTGCCTGGCTTATTTCACTTAGCATAATGCCCTCTAAGTTCATCTATGTTGTTGAAAATACTTGAAATTTGCTAAAGGGAATCAACTTTTAGCGTACACACACACACACACACACGGTATACGGTATGTCAGATGATATGCTAATACATTTGATTGTGGGAGTCATTACACAATGTATACTTATATCAAAATACCACGTTGTATCCTTGAAATATTTACAATTTTTTGTCAATTATACTTCAATGAAGCCGGGAAAAATTAAAAGACACATAAAAAAAAGTAAGGAAGGATATTCTGCAAAACCTAGAAGGGAAGAATTTATTCCTTATTGAAAACTTGCCACACAGGGAAGATAAAATGGAGACAAAATAAGAGACAAGGTTTTTTCAAAAAGAATACAAATAAAAATTGTTTCAAAAATTCTATCAGTTAAGAGCATAAATCCCTGTTTTGTTTTTTCAAACTAGGAATGCCCTCTCTTTCATTCCAGTTGCAACCTATGTGTTCCTCAATCATCAGGTTTTATTTGTTTTTCTGCTAATTAATCAGCACGAGGCACCTAGAAGTCAAGTGTGACTACTTTAGTCTACCCTCTTGGTGTGTCCTCTGGAGTTCTTCTCACGTTTCAATTTGTGACTTTATTTGCATTTTTAGGACAACACTTAGGGGGCTTTGAAAAGATTACAAGTATTAGTGGGTAAACAAAGACATTGCAAGCTCTTCATCCTGCCATGCTTCTCCAAGTGCTCACTAACACACACCATTCCATGACATGGGCCACATTAATTCCTAACGTGGATTCCGAATGACCCCGCTATGACGTGGGTGACCTTACTGACCTCTGCTGTTACGTTGTCATGTTTTTTTATTAAAGCCATATTTCATAAAACATGTGAACATGTTTTATGAAATAAAACATAATTTGTTGTGTCCAGTTACACCCCTGCCAGTATTACAGGGAGAGAAAACCAACCGATTTCCTGGTATTTCATAGTATTTTGCATAGCACTGTAAGGAAATTAATTGGCCACTTGTAATACTGTAAGGCACTCCCTGAAGCAAACCTCCACTATGTGCAGTCTCTGCACAGGCCCCTAGCCGAGCACTCTACATCTGGTTCATTTTAAAGTGTGTTGTAGGTGTTAGCATAGGATGAGTGAGCAGGGACCATGGCTTACTGAAATATTAGAGCTCTGAGGCGCCTCTGTATTGCCCAGTTATCAACAGGTCTTTACTACAAGAGAAGCAACCAGGAAATTGAGTTAATATTTATTACTCAATCCCATAACTCGCATGACCTTTAGCACAAATATGGACCCCAGAACCAAATCCCTAGAAAATCAAAATTCAGGATTGACTTGGTTTTACCACGACTATGGTTTGTATATTTATACATGCAGTATACATAGGCCTAATATATATCAGAGCTAAAACTCAAGTGGCAATCAGTGGACACAGTAGGAAAGAATAGCTAGCAAATTTGCACATGTGGTTTTGATTAAAACTTCTATTTCCAAATATAATTGTTTCCTTAAATGATAGTCACAGTGACTTAATGTGCTTATCAGTAGCTATAACTTTTTTTTTAGTAAAAATGTCGGAATTTCTGTAAGTATATTCGAAAGTATAAAATCTTGAATACTAAAGTCAGTATTTTTGAGTGCTAACGCTGCCATGTATGAGAACTTATTTATAATAAACGTTGATAATAGACTTGTAAATAAAACCAGACATACATATTTTTTTTTCCAATGTGGCCAAATACCAGCATTAAAAATTCATATCATGGTTAATGTATTTAGACAGATTTCATATAATTGGGAAAAAGAAATTTTCTAATACTATGAAGGCAAAGATAGGGAAGTATAGTATTTCATAAATTGTATACATTAGTACAACCTTTATGCAGGACAGTTTGAGACTATGTTTCAAATGCTTTAACTCTGGAAATACTTTTTCAGCAATTCTCTTTTTTTGAACTATAGCTTAAAAATGATGAGGAGTGGGAACAAAGTTTCAGATGCATAAGAATTAATAATAGCCGTTTGTTGGATATTTTTAAAAATATTTTTCTCATGTGAATTTTTAGGCTATCACAAACATCCTTGAAGAAGCCTGAACATATCCTGGATTTAGAATTGCTAAGTTGATAGCTCTCCCCATGTTTAAGGCTTTTAAAAATATGCTATCAAATCACCCTTCGTAATTTGTTGTGTCCAGTTACACCCCTGACAGCAGTTATTATAAAACTTATTTTCCAAAACATTTAATGGTCACTTTAATTTGGGAACTTTTACAACTGTATCTATCCATTACTCTAGAATTTGCATTTAAGGGTTATCTTCTGGTGTATATTCTACAAAATTATTCTGCCTGGTTAAGTTTTTAACAGGTAAGGTATCATACCTCCTAATTAAGTTATAATAAAACAGGATTAATCCCGGCACTGTGGGAGGCTGTGGTGGGCAGATCACAAGGTCAGGAGATCGAGACCATCCTGGCTAACAAGGTGAAACCCTGTCTCTAATAAAAATACAAAAACAATGAGCCAGGCGTGGTGGCAGGCATCTGTAGTCCCAGCTACTCGGGAGGCTGAGGCAGGAGAATGGCGTGAACCCAGGAGGCGGAGCTTGTGGTGAGCCCAGATTGCGCCACTGCCCTCCAGCCTGGGCAACAGGGCAAGACTCCATCTCAAAAAAACAAAAACAAAACAAAACAAAACAAAAAAACGAAAAACAGGATTATGGTAGAGAACAAAAGAATTAATAACCTATTATGGTAAAAATGTAAACACAACATAAATGTACACCAGTGTGGATTTGATAAGTACACAAACCACACACACACACACACACACACACACACACACACACACACACTGATTATATATTAGAGTAAGGTTTTTTTCTGGTTGGTGGTTTACAGGCTTTTTATTCATTTTTTTGTTCTCTAAAAATGTACTTGCATGATGTTTTTAATCAGAAAAATAAAGGTCTTCCACTATAAAAAAATGTATAATCTGAAATTACTTTAGGTAACTATTTTAGACTGTGGATAATAGGTGGGTTTTCATTTAAATAGTCATTTAAGAAATACTTGAGCTTGTAATTGTGGATTGTCAAAGGAAGGCTCAGAGACAGAAACATTCATAAAGGAAATGAGTATAAGGGAGTCAGACTGCAGAAGGACTAGATTACCAAATTTTAAAAAATGCAATCAGAAATTAAAGGAGAAAAAAGCAAAAATACCAAGGTTGCCAAGTAACATTTGTCTGTTGAAGGCAAAAACAACAGTTGTCTAATACTATTATATTTACAAATGTCAAGACATACTTTCAGACATCAGCACAGCAAAGATCAAGAATATAAATGATTTTGTAAAGGAGTTCAGATGTGTGGGAATGAGTGAAGCTTTCATTATTTGAGGTCCATTCCAAGTTAGGATGAACCTGCTGTACCTGTCTTATCTCAGGTACAAAGCCTATGGTCTACCTATGGTTTGTGAGGGTCTTAGTCATATTAGAAGTGGTACAAGTATCATTTTTTGCTTCTATAATTCTCTCTCCTAGTCAATATCCTGCCATCAAATGTGGATTTGGCCAGATAAGCTGCTAATAAATTTTCTGATTTTTGTGTCACTAATTTGATATTGTTGTTTTAAAAATAGTTTATGTATGCAGGTGTCATAAGAGATATTAATACTGAAGTACATTATTTGTATAATTAACAAAAGTAGGGACACGTGATGTTACACTGAAACATTAGTTTCTGACGGGAATTTTAAAAAGACACTGGGTTTGTAATTTACTTTTACGTGTCGGAAGTATCTTACTGTCCTTATTAGCTCTATTGAGATTAAGAACCAAGAACCATCTTAGAAACCTCTGTAGGGTGCACCTACCATACATGTAAGCTCATAGGATATCCTTCCTGTTTATTTTCTGGGCTTGCAGGTAATGACATTCTTTATCTTCTTAAGTAAATTTCATAAGCCTAGAGCTAGTATTAGACCACTTTTACTGGGAGGACTTTGTAGATATCATTTTTACTTGTGAAGCATATTCCTTATTTTTTAATAGCAAGTATATACAACCTAATTAAATGAGCTTTTGGGCTTGCTTATATTTTATAAATCACATGTACCCAATTTTATATTCTGATCGGAAAGAGAATAAATTGTTACAGGTTACACTCGGTTGAGTTTTGTCTCAATGGAACCTCCAGGAATAACTAAAAAAGGAAGACTCAGAGAAAGAAACATCAAGACATCAGTGTGAGCAAGAGAGAAAGATTTTGAAGGACTGAAAGCCTCCATCCCCAACTAAGAAAAACAAGTATTTAAAGAAAACAAAAAGTGGAATTCCCAAGGTTATTAAATTTATATTAGTCTGTTCATAGTGGAAAAACAGCAACTATCTTACATGATGATTGCAGCTGACTTAATGGGAAATATTCAAAAGTTTATGATTTGTGGGAACAGAGCCAGTCAGCGTGACCCTTTTATTTTTGGTTTGTCTCAGAGTCCTCAGAGTGCAACTTGTTTTTTAAAATTTTTTCCCTAACTGTGACATGTGAAGTGTTTAGTAATATTAGAAACAGGATGAAGTATCAGTATTTTCTTCTAGAGTAAAAAATGATTGCTCTGAGTTCCTTCGAGTAAATATATGACATGCATCTTAGACATGGCATGTAGACTTTAAGCACAAATCACACACACTTTTCTCCATTTGCACTGCTGGGAACATTTTTCTATCTCAGTCCTAACTGTGTAATCTCCTGAAATGCACCTTACTGCTAGGCCTGAAAGATGCCTTTCAAACCTCCCAGGATTTATGCCAAACTAAATTGTTAGTTGAGGTACGTTTAAGAGTTGGAGCAAAAGGTTTATTCCTTGCCCTTTTAGAGAAAATCTGCCTAAACAACAGTCCTTTTTATTTTTGTTGCCTTAGCTAATGTGACCCAGAAAATAACATAGTGTGGTGGTGAAGAAAACCAAGCGCGTGAAAGGATGGCTGGGTTTTCCCCTGGGGGAAGCCCCTGGCAGGGTCTGGCTCTGCATTCAGGGGGTCTTGCCTGGCCTTGACCAGTGCCACAGAGCTTGAGGAACCCTCTTACACATGTCAATGAGTCCCCAGCATATGGTCAGTGAAGTTAATCAATATATTGAGCTATATCATATCCTTTTAAATTTCAGTTATTTTCTAACTTTGAAGGAAACATGAACCTGTCACCTAGATATCAGCTTTATATACATCACATTGTTTTTTTCCTTAATAAAACAAAGTCCACTTTTTTAAAAGATTTGTAAGTAGCTGTTCATTTGTCCTTTTAATTTTGCTTCCATGGGGAAATAATGTTGAGTAAATTTCGTTAAAGCTGAGTGGTCCAAATAGAGAGCGACCTAGACCAAGATTTTAAAGCATCTCTATTATCTTACTTCTTTATTTGAGTGGACATTAAAGATTATATATAGCATAGGTCTGTCCTTTGACCAGCCTCCTTTCTGACAACATTAAGTTTCAGAATATGATATACCATTAAGAGCACTTCTTGTGATTAGGAGTTTTTTATTTAAGGGCTACTAATATAGACTGCACTATTTTGGCTTCTTGAACCTTCCATTCTGGCCAGTTGTTTTATACCCAGGTCCTTCTTTAAATTTATTTGTCACCTGGTTTGTTTTTTGCTACTTCTTAGGTGTCTGAACGTCAATATCAAAGCAATTTAAGTCTTTCTCTTCCAAGAAACCATTGCTGACTGCTCTGCCCAAGCCTGGCTTCTTCATTTAAAACTCATTTGAGCATCTACTATGTACTGAGAATTGTGTATTTTGTAAGGCATAAGGAAATAGGTAGGCATGTCTCTGACTTCACGAAGCTTATGGTACAGGAACCATGACAACCTGAAATTCTCAATAAAATGTCAGATAGGAAATGAAAGTCTCAATTAACACATCGAAACTCAGATTTTTTACAAAGTTCATTAATATCTGCATCTGAGCTCTGAGGCTGATCTTGATCTTGTGAGATTCTCTTGGGGGAAAAAGAATACAAAATGGCAAGCACAATGCAAGGCAGAGGTCTTGAGAGTTAAGCATCATTGTCTTCCTGGTAAATCTTCCTGTGTCTGAGTTTGACCTTCCCCTCAAGCCTCCAGCATATATGTTCTTGAATAAGACAACTTGATCTATCCCATTCTGGTTTATTCCATCTGATGAGCGGATTGTTCAGAAACTTAAAATGATTAACTCAGCCTCCGTCCAGGTCTATTTTTGGTCACTTGTAATAAATACTCAATCTTCAAGGGTTTCTTTAGTGTTCCTGCCCTTTCTTCTGGGGTGATCCAAGTTCCTGAACATCATAAAAGAGAGCTGGTTTGTTTTGCCCACTCTTCATTTCTGGCTCTCAATCTTTATCTGGGTTCTATCTGCTGATGTGGAGTTGGGCATCGTGTAAGCAACTTCGACTCACGGCAGATGCTCTTGCTACTGCCTTTGGTTGCAAGGTCCCTGTGCTCTATGGTCTTGTTCCAACTTGAGTTCCCTTCCAGGTCATGGTCAGCTTAGCCCTTCTGTGTATCTCTTGGGGTCCCAGTAACGCTGGATGATTTTTTCTCTATTATAGAGAAACAAGCAGGACATTATGTTGCCGTTTCAAGGCTGACCATCCCAACAAACTTCCTTTGTCATTGTTACATTTCCGCTGGGTACCCTGTTGGAGGTAGAACCATGCCTTTCTGGAAGTCTTTATGCCTCCATTGACAGCCCATGCGCAAGGAAAGAAGTAAGGCCCTTCCCTTCTGTTCTTGAATTCTAGAGGAGAAACCAGCACACTCCATTTAGAACCATTGCCCTCTTCCCTCTCTCTCTGACTCTGGGTCTCCCACTGAGTGCCATGAAGGGCTTTCACCAATGTAGAGAAACTTTTCTAACATATCATTCTCCTCTGATTCATTCATTTGGATATAACAAGTTACTTTGTTCCAGTTTGCTAGGCTTGTCTCCTGACATAAAAAGGTCAGCCTTAGAAGCCCTAAGAAAACCCTTTCTTGATCCTTGTGGAGGGTGGAGCCAAGATGGCCGAATAGGAACAGCTCCAGTCTACAGCTCCCAGCATGAGTGACGCAGAAGACGAATTATTTCTGCATTTCCAACTGAGGTACCGGGTTCATCTCACTGGGGATTATCGGACAGTGGGTGCAGGACAGTGGGTGCAGCACACTGAGTGTGAGCCAAAGCAGGGCGAGGCATCTGCTCACCCGGGAAGCACAAGAGGTCAGGGAATTCCCTTTCCTAGCCAAGGAAAGGGGTGACAGATGGCACCTGGAAAATCAGGTCACTCCCACCCTAATACTGTGCTTTTCCAATGGTCTTAGCAAACGGCACACCAGGAGATTGTATCCCACGCCTGGCTCAGAGGGTCCTACGCCCATGGAGCCTCGCTCATTGCTAGCACAGCAGTCTGAGATCAAACTGCAAGGCGACTGCAAGGCAGCAGCGAGGCTGGGGGAGGGGCACCCACCATTGCCGAGGCTTGAGTACGTAAACAAAGCAGCCAGGAAGCTCGAACTGGGTGGAGCCAACCACTACTTAAGGAGGCCTGCCTGCCTCTGTAGACTGCACCTCTGGGGGCAGGGCATAGCCAAACAAAAGGCAGCAGAAACCTCTGCAGACTTCAATGTCCCTGTCTGACAGCTTTGACGGGAGTAGTGGTTCTCCCAGCACACAGCTGGAGATCTGAAAATGGACACACTGCCTCCTCAAGTGGGTCCCTGACCCCCAAGTAGCCTAAGTGGGAGGCAACCCCCAGTAGGGGTAGACTGACACCTCACACGGCCGTGTACTCCTCTGAGACAAAACTTCCAGAGGAACGATCAGGCAGCAACATTTGCTGTTCACCAATATCTGCTGTTCTGCAGCCTCCGCTGCTGATACCCAGGCAAACAGGGTCTGGAGTGGACCTCCAGCAAACTCCAACAGACCTGCAGCTGAGGGTCTTGACTGTTAGAAGAAAACAAACAAACAGAAAGGACATCCACACCAAAACCCCATCTGTAAGTCACCATCATCAAAGACCAAAGGTAGATAAAACCACAAAGATGGGGAAAAAACAGAGCAGAAAAACTGAAAATTCTAAAAATCAGAGCGCCTCTCCTCCTCCAAAGGAATGCAGCTCCTCACCAGCAGCGGTAAAAAGCTGGACGGAGAATGACTTTGATGAGTTGAGAGAAGAAGTCTTCAGATGATCAAACTACTCCGAGCTAAAGGAGGAAGTTCGAACCCATGAGAAAGAAGTTAAAAACCTTGAAAAAAGATTAGACGAATGGCTTACTAGAATAACCAATGCAGAGAAGTCCTTAAAAGACCTGATGGAGCTGAAAACCAAGGCATGAGAACTACGTGACAAACGCACAAGCCTCAGTAGCCAATTCGATCAATTGGAAGAAAGGGTATCAGTGATGGAAGATCAAATGAAGGAAATGAAGTGAGAAGACAAGTTTAGAGAAAAAAGAATAAAAAGAAACAAACAAAGCCTCCAAGAAATATGGGACTATGTGAAAAGACTAAATCTATGTCTGATTGGTGTACCTGAAAGTGACGGGGAGAATGGAACCAAGTTGGAAAGCACTCTGCAGGATATTATCCAGGAGAACTTCCCCAATCTAGCAAGGCAGGCCAACATTCAGATTCGGGAAATACAGAGAATGCCGCAAAGATACTCCTCAAGAAGAGCAACTCCAAGACACATAATTGTCAGATTCACCAAAGTTGAAATGAAGGAAAAAATGTTAAGGGCAGCCAGAGAGAAAGGTCAGGTTACCCACAAAGGGAAGCGCATCAGACTAACAGCTGATCTCTCCGCAGAAACTCCACAAGCCAGAAGAGAGTGGGGGCCAATATTCAACATTCTTAAAGAAAATAATTTTCAACCCAGAATTTCGTATCCAGCCAAACTAAGCTTCATAACTGAAGGAGACATAAAATTCCTTACAGACAAGCAAATGCTGAGAGATTTTGTCACCACCAGGCCTACCCTGAAGAGCTCCTGAAGGAAGCACTAAACATGGAAAGGAACAACCAGTACCAGCCACTGCAAAAACATGCCAAATTGTAAAGACCATTGAGGCTAGGAAGGAGAAACTGCATCAACTAATGAGCAAAATAACCAGCTAACATCATAATGACAGGATCAAATTCACACATAACAATATTAACCTTAAATGTAAATGGGCTAAATGCTCCAATTAAAAGACACAGACTGGCAAACTGGACAAAGAATCAAGACCCATCAGTGTGCTGTATTCAGGAAACCCATCTCACGTGCAGAGACACACACAGGCTCAAAATAAAGGGATGGAGGAAGATCTACCAAGCAAATGGAAAACAAAAAAAGGCAGGGGTTGCAATCCTAGTCTCTGATAAAACAGACTTTAAACCAACAAAGATCAAAAGAGACAAAGAAGGCCATTACATAATGGTAAAGGGATCAATTCAACAAGAAGAGCTAACTATCCTAAATATATATGCACCCAAAACAGGAGCACCTAGATTCATAAAGCAAGTCCTTAGAGACCTACAAAGAGACTTAGACTCCCACACAATAATACTGGGAGACTTTAACACCCCACTGTCAACATTAGATAGATCAACGGGACAGAAAGTTAACAAGGATATCCAGGAATTGAACTCAGCTCTGCACCAAGCGGACCTAATAGACATCTACAGAACTCTTCACCCCAAATCAACAGAATATACATTCTTTCCAGCACCACGCCACACCTATTTCAAAATTCACCACATAGTTGGAGGTAAAGCACTCCTCAGCAAGTGTAAAAGAACAGAAATTATAATAAACTGTCTCTCAGACCACAGTGCAATCAAGCTAGAACTCAGGATTAAGAAACTCACTCAAAACCACTCAACTACATGGAAAATGAACAACCTGCTCCTGAATGACAGCTGGGTATGTAACGAAATGAAGGCAGAAATGAAGATGTTCTTTGAAACCAATGAGAACAAAGACACAACATACCAGAATCTCTGGGACACATTCAAAGCAGTGTATAGAGGCAAATTTATAGCACTAAATGCCCACAAGAGAAAGCAGGAAAGATCTAAAATTGACACCCTAACATCACAATTAAAAGAACTAGAGAAGCAAGAGCAAACACATTCAAAACCTAGCAGAAGGCAAGAAATAACTAAGATCAGAACAGAACTGAAGGAAATAGAGACACAAAAAACCCTTCAAAAAATCAATGAATCCAGGAGCTGGTTTTTTGAAAAGATCAACAAAATTGATAGACCGCTAGCCAGACTAATAAAGAAGAAAAGAGAGAAGATTCAAATAGACGCAATAAAAAATGATAAAGGGGATATCACCACCGATCCCACAGAAATACAAACTACCATCAGAGAATACTATAAACACCTCTATGCAAATAAACTAGAAAATCTAGAAGAAATGGATAAATTCCTCAACACATACACCCTCCCAAGACTAAACCAGGAAGAAGTTGAATCTCTGAATAGACCAATAACAGGCTCTGAAATTGAGGCAATAATTAATACCTTACCAACCAAGAAAAGTCCAGGACCAGATGGATTCACAGCCGAATTCTACCAGAGGTACAAGGAGGAGCTGGTACCATTCCTTCTGAAACTATTCCAATCAATAGAAAAAGAGGGAATCCTCCCTAACTCATTTTATGAGGCCAGCATCATCTTGATACCAAAGCCTGGCAGAGACACAACAAAAGAAGAGAATTTTAGACCAATATCCCTGATGAACATCGATGCAAAAATCCTCAATAAAATACTGGCAAACCGAATCCAGCAGCACATCAAAAAGCTTATCCACCATGATCAAGTGGGCTTCATCCCTGGGATGCAAGGCTGGTTCAACATATGCAAATCAATAAATGTAATCCAGCATATAAACAGAACAAATGACAAAAACCACATGATTATGTCAATAGATGCAGAAATGGCCTTTGACAAAATTCAACAACTCTTCATGCTAAAAACTCTCAATAAATTAGATATTGATGGGATGTATCTCAAAATAATAAGAGCTATCTATGACAAACCCACAGCCAATATCATACCAAATGGGCACAAACTGTAAGCATTCCCTTTGAAAACTGGCAGAAGACAGGGATGCCCTCTCTCACCACTCCTATTCAACATAGTGCTGGAAGTTCTGGCCAGGGCAATCAGGCAGGAGAAGGAAATAAAGGGTATTCAATTAGGAAAAGAGGAAGTCAAATTGTCCCTGTTTGCAGACGACATGAATGTATATCTAGAAAGCCCCATCGTCTCAGCCCAAAATCTCCTTAAGCTGATAAGCAACTTCAGCAAAGTCTCAGGATATAAAATCAATGTGCAAAAATCACAAGCATTCTTATATACCAATAACAGACAAACAGAAAGCCAAATCATGAGTGAACTCCCATTAACAATTGCTTCAAAGAAAACAAAATACTTAGGAATCCAATTAACAAGGGATGTGAAGGATCTCTTCAAGGAGAACTACAAACCACTGCTCAATGAAATAAAAGAGGATACAAACAAATGGAAGAACATTCCATGCTCCTGGGTAGGAAGAATCAATATTGTGAAAATGGCCATACTGCCCAAGGTAATTTATAGATTCAATGCCATCCCCATCAAGCTACCAATGACTTTCTTCACAGAATTGGAAAAAACTACTTTAAAGTTCAGATGGAACCAAAAAAGAGCCCACATTGCCAAGTCTATCCTAAGCCAAAAGAACAAAGCTGGAGGCATCACTCTACCTGACTTCAAACTATACTACAAGGCTGCAGTCACCAAAACAGCATGGTACTGGTACCAAAACAGAGATATAGACCAATGGAACAGAACAGAGCCCTCAGAAATAATGCCACATATCTACAACTATCTGATCTTTGACAAACCTGAGAAAAACAAGCAATGGGGAAAGGATTCCCTATTTAATAAATGGTGCTGGGAAAACTGGCTAGCCATATGTAGAAAGCTGAAACTGGATCCCTTTCTTACACTTTACACAAAAATTAATTCAAGATGAATTAAAGACTTAAATGTTAGGCCTAAAACCATAAAAACCCTAGAAGAAAACCTAGGCAATACCATTCAGGACATAGGCATGGGCAAGGACTTCATGTCTAAAACACCAAAAGCAATGGCAACAAAAGCCAAAATTGACAAATGGGATCTGATTAAACCAAAGAGCTTCTGCACAGCAAAAGAAACTACCATCAGAGTGAACAGGCAACCTACAGAATGGGAGAAAATTTTTGCAATCTACTCAGCTGACAAAGGGCTAATATCCAGAATCTACAATGAACTCAAACAAATTTACAAGAAAAAAACAACCCCATCAACAAGTGGGCAAAGGATATGAACAGACACTTCTCAAAAGAAGACATTTATGCAGCCAAAAGACACATGAAAAAATGCTCATCATCACTGGCCATCGGAGAAACGCAAATCAAAACCACAATGAGATACCATCTCACACCAGTTAGTATGGGAATCATTAAAAAGTCAGGAAACAACAGGTGCTGGAGAGGATGTGGAGAAATAAGAACACTTTTAGACTGTTGGTGGGACTGTAAACTAGTTCAACCATTGTGGAAGTCAGTGTGGCGATTCCTCAGGTATCTAGAACTAGAAATGCCATTTGACCCAGCCATCCCATTACTGGGTATATACCTAAAGGATTATAAATCCTGCTGCTATAAAGACACATGCACACGTATGTTTATTGCGGCACTATTCAGAATAGCAAAGACTTGGAACCAACCCAAATGTCCAACAATGATAGAATGGATTAAGAAAATGTGGCACATATACACCATGGAATACTATGCAGCCATAAAAAAGGATGAGTTCATGTCCTTTGTAGGGACATGGATGAAGCTGGAAACCATCATTCTCAGCAAACTATCACCAAGGACAAAAAACCAAACACTGCATGTTATCACTCATAGGTGGGAATTGAACAATGAGAACACATGGACACAGGAAGGGGAACATCACACACCGGGGCCTGTTGTGGGGTGGGGGGAGGGGGGAGGGATAGCATTAGGAGATACACCTAATGTTAAATGACGAGTTAATGGGTGCAGCACACCAGCATGGCACATGTATACATATGTAACAAACCTGCATGTTGTGCACATGTACCCTAAAACTTAAATTAAAAAAAAAAAAAGAAAACTCTTTCTTGGCCGTGTGTGGTGGCTCACGCCTATAATCTCGTCACTTTGGGAGGCTGAGGTGGGCGGATCACGAGGTCAGGAGATCAAGACCATCCTGGCTAACACGGTGAACCCCCATCTCTACTAAAATACAAAAAATTAGTGAGGTGTGGTGGTGTGTGCTGGTAGTCCCAGCTACTCGGGAGGCTGAGGCAAGAGAATGGCATGAACCCAGGAGGCAGAGCTTGCAGTGAACCAAGATCATGCCACTGCACTCCAGCCTGGGCGATACAGCAAGACGTCATCTCAAAAAACCCATTTCTCCCTCAACAAAGCTAAATATTTGCAAATAAGTGCTCATCTCGGATTATTTTCTATGTCTTGTGTGAATTTATTCTCTTGACAGCAAAGAACTGAAAAAGATCCCTGACTGGTTCAACAGGAGAGGAGAAATGAATGCATTTGTAAACCATAAATAAAGCCCTTTGGAAGAGGCTCACTGAGGTAAATATTAAGGTCACTAGGTCTCAGGAGCAGCTGTAGGAAGGGGTGAATAAAACTAAGGGCTTTGGAGGGCAGGGTGAACTTCATACTTGGAAGCAAAGGAACAAATCAAGGACACCAGCCCTCAAGAGAACACCTAAATTATCCACAAAATATAATACTTTTCAGGCCATACAAAATAATAAAGGGTGTTTCATAAACATCTCATTGCAGTGATCACTAACCTTCATATGCTAATTTTCTATAAATAGCAAAACCTACTACCTTCTAAAGAACTTTGAAATGTTGGCTTTTGGCTGGGATTATGGTAGCTACATGGGCTAAGAGCTCTAAAACTTTTGCACTTTTTGAAGAAATAACATGGAATGAGTTGGCAGAAAAAAACAGTTGCAAGATCGGATAAAGGAATCCTCGGAGCTAATGCTAGAATTCCATGCTGTGGGTTCCTAGCATTGCTCTTTCTACCCCTCCCCGCCAGCCATTAGCTGAGGAATTTTCAAGTAAGAAAACAATTAATTTAGACCCCAAAGCTAATTGGAATCAATACTTAATGTTTCTTCTGAACTCTCCAAATTAATTATAAAATGATGTATGTTCACATTGATGCCAGACTATATAGATTTCTATCTAAAATTTACCTCCAGGGGCATCTTTTCAACAAGGAGTCAGCTGCGTGTAGTTTGTCATGTCATCCCTTTCGCCATCCACCCTTCTTAGTTTTCTCCCCTTGAAATTTTGTGTCAAGGGCAGTGTTGATATCAGGGCGATGAATTAGCTGTACTTGAGATAAAGAGAGCAGCTTGCAGACACACACTAGCAAGCACCAGCGGGTCACCATGAAGTTGAAGTCTACGAGTGCAGAGAGAAGACACCTGCCTCTACAAGGTGCTGCAGTTCCAAGCTGCATCCTTCTCTGGCAGTATTAGCTGGGGAGCCTGCCTCAAAGCAGCAAAAGGCAAGACATCATCAAGTGTGAACTGAAGCCTGGCTTTGGTTCTGTCCCCTCAGTGAGGCATGTGGCTTCCAAGCCGCAGAAGACCTCTCCTTGTCCTCTGAGTGCCTTCGTATGTGGTGCTCCAGAACTTTCATGTGGCGATCATAAAATGCTTGTTAGATGTATCATTGGCAAGACAATGGATACACAAGGGACACTCAACACCCAGGCAGTTAAAGGCCTTTCGCTTGCTTATCAGTACAGGAACCTTACAGTAACTTTGTTTGTCTATAAGTCTGTTCTTATTTTGCACTACCTGCCCCATGGACAAGTAGTAATGCAGAGAAGAAATAAAGAAGAATAAAATGTCACAGTGGGGTTTTCTTGTAGAATAGGAATTTGAAGTTGAGATAAATAAAGTCTTTGCCTTTTCAGACACAGCTAAGTAGCTGGAAGTTTCTGAAACATTGGACTGAAGGGGTTGAGAATAGTGGGGAGCACAAGAAAAAAGATGCCTGACAACAGGGCTCTGTTACCTTGGGCAGACAGTCTTCCCAGAGATCATTCCTCACTACTGAGAATTGAAGAGGCATCTTTTCCCCGCCTTCAGTTCCACAGTCCATCATCTCTCAGGTTTGCATTCTTTCATGCAACAAAAGTTATGGCTCAAGTACATATGCCAGACCCCAGAGAAGCACAAATAAATAACAGATCATCCCCACCCTCAGGACAAGCATAATAAGGAGCTCTCTGGCATTGTCAGAGAAGAGGTGAACTTGGTTAGATGGGCACATTGGAACAGATCCGTAGCTGTTATAGAGAGGCTGGTACTGGGTGTGAGGCTGGCCCAGTCATCACAACCAGAGTAATAAACAGGCACAGGAATATGTGACTTGTATCAGGGTGGAGCCTGGGGGCTGGGAATACAGATAAGACCAGCAGGCTGGGATCCCTTGGTGAACAGTAGGGTTCCTGAGCATGAGTGAAAGCAGCCTGGAATTGCCTTCAAAGAGACATGTGTAGGAATCCCGGCTCTGCCTCTGACTAGCACACCACATTTGAACTAGAGTATGCAAGGATTTAGGAGAGGAGAAGAAACTGTGAAGTATTGGAAGGTTCTGGAAAACAAAGGGTAGAGAGCAGCTGGACTCAAGGTATCTCTCTAATAGGCCCTTGTTTTCACCTCTCAGACCTGCTTTCTCCACAAGGGGGAAAAGGTTGGGACAGCAGTTTCATTTCCTTCTTCCTCTCTGCCAGCAGCAGCCTGAGATTTGCTTAACAATAGCCTGAGATTTGTTCTTTCTGACCCCAAGTTCAAAATCCCAGGGATCGCTCTGATTTGAGTAAATGCCCATTCTTGGGACAATCTAGAATATCCCATTCATATAAAAAGGCTAGAGTAGAGGAAGGATCATTTCCCAGAAGAAGAGTCTTCTGCACAAACAAAACCATAGTGTTGACAAATAGTCATGGCCAATGGCAATCTGATGGTCCAGGGCCCTGGATGACTCCTCTGCAGGAGCATCTTCAGGGTTCTAGGGAAGTCACAGGGGCAAGAAGTTAAAAATGTTGAGTGACTACTTTATGCCACATACTTTACACATTATTTCACTGAATTCTTGGAGGTAAGTAGTATTACTCACATTTTATACATGAAGTAATTGAGAAACTCAGAGGGGCTCATTGACTTGTAGCAATCACACAGTGGGTAGGTTCATCTGGCTCCAAATTTTAGGCTCTGCATGCCCAGAGGCCAAGGGTCTTTCCTGTGTGTTGTAGTATTCACCTCATTTGATTTTATTAAGGCAGTGTTTGTTAGCATAGCTCTGAATTAAAAGAAAAATAAGAGGTTGTAAATATGGTTCTACCCCTCCCTCTTCTCTGCAGTAGGAGTCAGCCTTTCTCACCATCTGAAAAATAAAAGAGAGCAGTGCTTCCCTTGCTTCATTTCTTACAGGTTTTGGAATTCTAACTTTGCTCATTCACAAAGTCAAACACTTGTCATGTTCTGAAATGATAAAACTTATGTTAAGCCCATGACCTTAGTAATACGAAGGGAGGGAGTGGAACTGGAGTCAGACTGATGGGGTCTCCTCTGCCACACTGCAGCTCTGGAGCCGTGGACCGTGCATGGAATGTCTCTGAACCTCAGCTTTCTAATTAATAGAATGGGAATAAATTAAACATCATGCATTGCTGTGCATTTTTATTCAGAGACCTATAAATTATTTTTTTGTATAATGTTAAGTTTTGCTAAGTTCTATTTATGTAGCATTAAATAGCCAGGCAGTGTTGCATATGATATGAAGCACAGGGTCCTCAATTTAAAGTGAAACCAGTCTGTGAGGTGTAATGGTAGGTGGCCTCATT
Organism: Homo sapiens; assembly: GCF_000001405.40. Classification (NCBI taxonomy): domain Eukaryota; kingdom Metazoa; phylum Chordata; class Mammalia; order Primates; family Hominidae; genus Homo; species Homo sapiens. The sequence continues at coordinate 93,802,172 of NC_000015.10, forward strand.
GGTTTTCAGCGGACATTCTGTATGCAATATCTTTTCATGCGCTGTTGCTGGGAAAACCAAAGAGTAAATCTGAAATAAATGCTACAGAACCAAGAATGCGAAGGTCATTGTTGGCTGTTTGGGGAAGGGAAGTTAAAGATTAGAAATGGTCATCAAGACAGGATCGCCAAATTGACACCTGTGAATGTTTCCAGGAACTAAACAATTACACTAGGCTAGTGTCCCTTTAAAATGGTACCTGTGATATCCAAGTGGAATAAAGAACAACGTGGCCAGGCAGACAATCTAATTTTACTAAGATTGACCTTGCTTTGGGAAGACATGGAAATGTTTCATCCAAACAAAATATCATTGAAATTGCCAAGACATTAGAAGAATAACCACACACCCATTTTAAGGAGACAGGTTGCAGTGGTGAAAATTTATTTTCTGAGTATAGCTTTTAGTTGTTGTTGCTTTACTTGTCAACTTGGAAATCCAGGATCCTGGGGTTAATTTCCAGGAGGGAAAACCAGAGAGAAGGGTAGTACAGAATAAAATGGAGTCCACAGGGTTTGAATTCAGACATACTGCCGGTGAATTTAGCTGGGCTACTGGATTCCTAGTTTGTGACATGGGGTGAGTCCAAGCTTCAATGTTTTTATAGCTAAAAATAAAGATACAAACGGCAGCCTTCAGTGCTGACTAAACAGGATAACATGGCAAAAGAGCACATTTATGAAGCATTTATTGTTGCCAGGTATGATTTTAAGCACTTGACGTGTATTGTTTTTGACCCTTATAACAACCCTTGCAACTCTGTTACAGGTGAGGAGAAAGAAAGGTAACTTCCTGAAGTCACAAAGCTAGGGAACACAGGGTGGCTACATAAACCCACACAGCCTGCTGCAATGTCCTCCACACGTCCTTTCTGAGGCACATTCATCAAAGGGATGAATAAGGTCCCGAGCAGCACCGAATATGCATTTGATGTTTGTCTTCCTGAAAGATTACCTGTAAATGACCCATGTAAAATGTTTAGCTGTCCCTGGCCGGCAGAAGGCACACACCCCCAAAAGGAGGCAATGGAAACCAGTTCTCTAGCTCCTTTCTCTCACAATAAAAAGGACCAATAATCTTTAAACATCCAGAAGTTCTTTCTGTCTTGGAAAAGGCCTTCCAACAGGCCAGCAAGAGGAAACCATAAATCCTCCACGTTGAGCAAGAAACGTCTGCTTCATAAAGGTAAATTCAATCTCAACTTTGAAGTATAAAAAGTGAAGTATGAGAAGTCAACGTAAGCCAACGACAAGGGATCCCAGACAGCAGCAGGCGGGGAGCTTGGGCGGCAGGGCCACGGGCAGGCACAAAGACAGCCACAGATCAGCTGCAGCCAGGGAGGCCGCTGGCCGGAGTCAGATCAGATCTGGCTGCCGGCGATATTGCCTCTCCAGGAGACAAAGCCAGGCGGCCACCGGAACCCACGGGTGGCTGCACATCTGGAAAGCGGAGCCCCGGGATGAATTATGCATGGATTACCTTGCACTTGCGCAGGAATGTCTGTTTATTCACAGCAGAGGAGCAGAGACAAGGAAACCTGTTTCACACCTGGCATTTAATTTAGAAGGGATTGCTTCTCCGGCTGAAGGAAAAGCCATCTGAACTGCGCAGTCCTGGCTCTGCACTGGGGTTCCCGCAGCCAGCGCGTTATGTGCCTTATGAAACCTAGAGCCTTATTTTTCAATGCACTCTGTAAGACTGTGTGTGCGTGCACGTGGTGGTGGGGGTGGTGAGTGTACAAATGTGTGTGCACATAGCCACTCCTATGGGTGTAAGCACTGGACATGGCCCACATGGCAGGCACCCAAAGCATATCCGGCCCAATCTCTAAGTGTCCCCCACCCCTTTTCGGCTTAGCTCCATAAAAGTCACGAGGGACAGGGCGGGTGGCTCACGCCTGTAATTCCAACACTTTGGGAGGCCGAGGCGGGCGGATCACGAGGTCAAGATCGAGACCATCCTGGCTAACATGGTGAAACCTCGTCTCTACTAAAAATACAAAAATTAGCTGGGTGTGGTGGCATGTGCCTGTAGTTCCAGCTACTGGGAAGTCTGAGGCAGGAGAATCGCTTGCACCCGGGAGGGGGAGGTTGCAGTGAGCCAAGATTGCACCACTGCACTCCTGCCTGGGGACAGAGTGAGACTCCGTCTCAAAAAAAAAAAAAAAAAAAAAAGTCACGTGGAACCATCGTGCAGTGCTGAGCTACACATGTTACAACACATCCCCGGGTAGCTCCCCCAACCGCACCTTTCATTTTATTTGGGATTTATCCTACTCTTTGGATTTGCTAAATGTGAAAATTCCGCGAAGAAACCAATCCATTCTACCGGCTCCGAAGCAACAGGTTATTATGTAAGGCAGTGAAAGTATCTCACTGAGCACCGCTTTGGGGATTGTTGAATTAAGTTCTTCCTGCTACAGAACCCTTTTGTCCTCCGATCAAGTCCCATCTCTTTGTAAGCAAAATGGAAATGTCCCTTGGCATACGTAGCACTCTGTTTTCAAGTTGTTTATTCTGTTTTTCAAAATTGTTTACACATTGTAATTGTACATATTTATGGGGTTAAATCTGAGGTTTCCATACATATCTATGTTGTATAATGGTCCAATCAGGGTAGTTAGTGTATCCATGACCTCATGCATTTATCATTTCTGTTTGTTCAGGATATTGGGAAGCCTCTCTTCTAGCTATTTTGTAATATAGTAAAGATACTTTTAATTAAACTGTATAGCTGTTTGCTGCACTGATGTTCTCTGAGAGAGGCAGGACACTTTTTATACCATGTGAAAACGGATTTTCCAGAACAAAAAAGTGTGGAAATTAGTTTATTGAAGATTCTACATTGCAAAAGATTTATTAAAGTATTGGTTTCAAATCAGTGCTTTCTCTTATACCTATAGAGAGTATCCAGGACAAAATGAAATAAAAAAAAAATAGAAACTACTCATGGGACAGGCACTGGCTCAATTAACAGTTATGCTTCCTTGTATGACCCTCTTTAGGGTATATATCCCTCAATGGGTAATCGATTTAACAAATACTGAAGTCTGCAATAGTCTTACAGACCTGTTCACACTCTCCTTTGGTACTTCTTTCCTTATACTGTTTATAAAATATATAATAATTGTGTGTGTAAATATATCCATATTTATATTTATTTATGGGATACCATGTGATGTTTTGATACATGCATGTAAAATAATTAAATCAAGCTAATTAACGTATCACCTCACTTATCTTTTTTTGTGGTAAGAACAAAATCTATTATTTTAGCAATTTTAAAATGTACATTATTATTAACCATAGTCACTATGCAAAGCAGTCTATCACTAAAACTTATTCCTCCTGCCTAACAGATGCTTTCAGCTGACAAAACTTACTTCTGTTGCAATGGCTAAGAATGTACTCTTATAAATAAAATACTCTGTAATAGCTACTGTCTTCTAAGGTGTGAGGTATGGCATCATTTTTATCAGTAGGAAACTGCTCTTTTTTAAAAAATCACTCTTCCATGTATAGAGATGGGTGGAGGCACAAGAAAGGAGAGGTTGCATTTCCAAAATATTTGCTTCTGTATTGCTGAATGGTGAGATTCAAAAGAAAAATCCCTTGTTTAGCAAAATTCACAGTTGAGCCCCTGTGGATGCACAGAAAATCCACAGGAGGTATGGAGGCAAAATGCTTTAGTAGATAGCCTAGGGAGATTGAGTTTCTCGAGGAAGCTGAAAGAAGCAGTGTGGTCCTGCAGAAAGAGGTTGGAGAGAGATGGAGAAGTGCCTGGAGGCTACAGAGAAACATACCTGCACTCTCATCATGCAGAGTGGTCAACACACTTGTAAATAACAAAGTCAGATGTCTTGTTCTAGGCCATTTGCTTTTCCTGCTGCATGAATTCCAAATCGTCATTGCAAATCTCTACACCATGACAGTGTTGTTTTGGGGAAAACAAGGAAAAGGGCCAAGTTTCTTGTTGGGTTGTCATGAAGCAGGTGTGGCAATAAATGTGCAAGATCCTGAGGGGGAAGTATAAACCAGGGTAGGTCATTGGACTTTCCAGAGAATGCAGGATAGCCAGTTTGGGACAATGTTATTTTATTCTCATTGGAGAGAGTGATTCTGTTTCAATCATGTGCCGGAGCCACTCTTGAGAGGCAACTGTTAAATATTCAGCAATTTTGCAAGGTGGTTGTCAAGCCACTAGTAGCTGGAAATTGGGTATGATGGGAGGATTTGCATCTAAGCTATCAGCAAACACTTCAAATCAGGGTTTTATTTTAGGTTGCCAGTACACCATTGATCTATGCTCTAGCAATAGCAACTGAGTTGCAGTTCTCAATTAGACCATCCCCATTCTTTGATGCCTCCTGTCTATATACGATGCTCTTTCTGCCTGGAATATTATCTTTGACATTGTGTTCTAGAAACTATCTATGGCTAATAAAAGACGTAAGACTCCCTTGGAGCAGGACTCCCTCTGTGCTCCAAGTGTCTTGGATATATCTGGACCGTGACACTGAGTCTATTGCTTATAGTTTTCTGTTTTCCTACGCATAGCCCTTCTAAATTGTCATCAACTTGAGGTCAGGATATGAATCTCTTTTTAATTTGTGTGTCTCCACTATCAAACTTAGTGCCTGGCATTGTGCCAGCCTCTCAAAGTATATATGTTGAATGAACAAATGAATCAAAGAACAGCTGCTGTGACTATATAGCGGGCATGAGAGAGACACACACGCTGTGCATGACTCACAATCTAGTGGTTCCAGAGGGAGAGGAAAAAGCAGTAACAAAATAAACAAAACTGGCAGGGCACTGTGGCTCATGCCTGTAATCCCAGCACTTTGGGAGGCTGAGGTAGGTGGATCACCAGAGGTCAGGAGTTTGAGACCAGACTGACCAATATGGTGAATCCCCGTCTCTACTAAAAATACAAAAAGAATTAGCAGGGCGTGGTGGCACACACCTGTAGTCCCACCTACTTGGGAGGCTGAGGCAGGAGAATCGCTTAAACCCAGGAGACAGAGGTTGCAGTGAGCCGAGATCGCGCCGTTGCACTCCAGCCAAGAGCGAAACTCTCTCTCAAAAAATAAAAATTAAAAAAAAAAAAACCAATAAACAAACAAAACCAACAACCTTGGGACTAACAAATTTGCAACAAAACCTTACTTAGCGGTAATTATTCCATCTGTTGGTCTAATTTATTCTGAGCACCAAGGAATGAAAATAGTTTACCCAAAAAAGGTCTGAGGAAGCCCACACCTATGTTATTTATTCCAAGAGAAACCCTGGGTCCCTCTTCTTCAAGATCCAGCACTCTCCACACATTGTTGACAGCCTCTGTTTTGCAGCCTTTAAAGCCACAGTAGTTTAAAAAGAAGATTAGCCAGAGGAGACTGTTACACGTGGACACACTGATAACAAAGACAAAGTATGACTGTCAGCTTAACAGGAGGAAAGAGAGAAAAAATATAAAAATACACAAACACAAGAAGCAGACCTGAGAACTCTTTCCTCATCCAAAGCAATTTTTGAAACCGTAAAAGTTTCCTAAAGAAATTGTACTGGAAAGTTGAGTTTCAGAAATACTTTGTAGAAAAGAAAAAATTTGGCTGGGCGTGGTGGTTCACACCTGTAATCCCAGCATTTTGGGAGGCCAAGGTGGGTGGATCACTTGAGGTCAGGAGTTCGAGACCAGCCTGGCCAATATGGTGAAACACCCTCTCTATTAAAAATACAAAAATTAGCTTGGCATGGTGGCAGGCACCTGTAGTCCCAGCTACTCGGGAGACCGAGGCAGGAGAATCGCTTGAACCTGGGAGGTGGAGGTCGCAGTGAGCCCAGATCGCGCCACTGCACTCTAGCCTGGGCAACACAGAGAGACTCCGTTCCAAAAAAGAAAAACAAAACAAAACAAAACAAAAACAAAACCTAGCCAGGCATGGTGGCATGTGCCTGTAATCCCAGCTACTCAGGAGGCTGAGGCAGGAGAATTGCTTGAAACTAGGAGGTAGAGGTTGCACTGGGCCGAGATCGTGCCACTGCACTCCAGCCTGGGTAAGAGAGTGAGACTCCATCTCAAAAAAGACAAAAAAAAAAAAAAAAGAAAAAAACATTTGATCAGAATACCTGCATACATGTTTCTGCTCTGTTGCTCATTCCCTGTGTGACCTTAGGCAAGTCATTTAACCTCTCTGAGCCACAATTCCTTTTTCAAAAACAAGTGGAGATTGCAAGTCCCTCCTCAAAGTGTTTTTGTAGGATGAAAACCATACAGTTAAAGTAAAAAAGTAAAATATATTTTCAAATGTATTTAATTTTTTAAAATACATAAACTGAGGTAGAAAAAGATGTGAATACATCTCCTCTGGCTCCCTTACAGTTGACTCTTGAACAACTCAGGGATTAAGGCTGCTGATTCCCCTCAGTTCAAAATCCATGTATAACTTTTGACTTCCCAAAAACTTAACTAGTAATAGCCTGCTGTTGACCAGAAGCATTACTGATAATATAAACAGTTGATTAACACACATTTTGTATGTTGCATGTACTATATACCGTATTCTTTTTTTGAGACAGAGTCTTGCTCTGTTGCCCAGGCTGGAGTGCAATGGTGTGATCTCGGCTCACTGCAACTTCTGCCTCCCAGGTTCAAGTGATCCTCATGCCTCAGCCTCCCGAGTAGCTGGGATTACATGCACATGCCACCATGCCTGGCTAGTTTTTGTATTTTTAGTAGACATGGGGTTTCACCATGTTGGCCAGGCTGGTCTCAAACTCCTGACCTCAGGTGATCCGTCTGCCTTGGCCTCCCAAAGAGTTGGAATTACAGGTGTGAGCCACCACGCCCGGCCTATATACTGTATTCTTAAAATTAAAGTAAGCTAGATGACAGAAAATGTTATTAGGAAAATCATAAGGAAGAGAATATATATTTACAATTTATTAAGTGGAAGTGGATCATCATAAAGGTCTTCCATCTTCATCATCTTCATATGGAGTAGACTGAGGAAGAGGAGGGAGAGGAAGGGTTGCTTTTGCTGTTTCAAGGGTGGCAGAGGTGGAGGAAAATTTGCATATAAGTAGACCCACACAGTTCAAACCCATGCTGATCAAGAGTTAACTGTACCTGTCTTGTTTACTATAAAATGTGGTTCAGAGAATTAGAGCTGGAAAGATGCTTGGACACCCACCTGATTATATTCTCCATTCTACAGATGAGAATAGAGGCCAGGGTACAAATCTTCCCAACAGAATGAAGAGGTGGTTGTATGTTTTTTTATTTTTTTGTTTAATTTTTAACATTTTAATTTTATTATGTTATTTTTTATTGTATTATGTTATTTTTACTTCATTTCCTTTCTCTGAGCCAGGTCAGAAAGAATAAATTTATAAAGAACACTCATCACTAAGCTCCAATAAAAAAAAAAAAGGAAGAAAATGATTAAAAGAAAATGTACTGCCTTGGCAGAATCCTTAAAGACCATCTGGTTGCGATTTGGCATAGGGGGTCTAATAGGAGCTCCAATCCACAGTGTTGCTTGACCCTGGAATCATGGATTGTAGTTTTCGTGAGCCAATCACCTTTCGTTATCTATCTGCTCTGTATGGCCAGAGATTAGACTTGGTTCTTTCATATATTTCCTCCAATGTTAACCTCTCAGCATCTTTGTTATTATAATCTCAGTTTTTTTTTTTTTTTCCCAAAGGAGGAAAGTGAGGCTTAAAGAATTTTTGCAAGACTTACCCAAAGGCACTTAGACAATTAGTAGCAGGGATGGGCCACAACTGCTAGAGCAAGACTAAAATCAATTAATTTTATGTCAAAGAAAATAAATTACTAAAGACTTTCTAACTGCTAGGTCCTGCTCTGTGCTAGTCCAGTACTCATTCTGTCTCAAATTTTTTGAAATCATATCTCCCCATCAGCAGCAAGCTTTGTGAAAAAGAACAATCTTGGGATGAAATGATATAATTGCTGCAATTTTTTAGACCTAAGCCCATGGAAAGGTGACCTGAAAAGGCTGTCATTTGCCTTACTGCAGAATAGACTTGCTCAATCCTAAAGAACAGTTCTTCATTTTCTTAGGCAAATAGAAATCTCCAAATACAAATGTTCATAGTACTAAGAAAGGACTTAGAATATTACCTATATTGTTAGAATGTAAAAAAAATTCATCCTTCTAAAGTTAGATTAAGATTGCTTTATTGCAAGAGATACTTTCATTACAAAGTACCTGCAGCCTGTCCTACAAGAGTCATTTCTCACTATTTCTAGATGTATCCTGCAACATGATACTTATTGTTTCTGGTTACTTCCATACGCATTTGAATTTGCTTAATTCTTGCCTCTACATGGAATTCTCTCCATTTCCAACTTCAAGAAAAGAACTTCTTTTAAAGTTCCACTAAAATGCTCCTTCCTCTATGAAGTTCTTCTCAATCCTCTATGTTTCAGGAGGGGAAGGGTAACATTTATAGATCTCCAACTACATACAGGAGCTATGGTAGGAACATGACATGCTGTCAACATATCTCATTCCTCCAAAATCCTAACTGGTACGTATTACAAGCATGGAGGGAAAAGGAAGAAATGTTTTAACTAATGTTTAGAACCAAAAATATTTTAATTACAAAAGTTTGGACTTAATAAGGTAAAGACAAATTTTTTGGGGGGTGATGGGGCATCTGTGTATAATGAGTTATACAAGCTGCTGAAGTCTCTTTGTTCCATCTTGCACTGTTTATGCAGTATTCTCTTTAATGCTGGGGGAGCTGAATACTCAGAGGATATAAAGACAAGCTCTGCTGTATATATTTCCTGGATGAATTTATCTTTTGTGTTGAAATATGCAAATTTCCTAATATAATGTTCATAAACCTATTTCGAGGCTATTCCTATAAAATCCAAAGAAATACCAGTTGGCAGGTGAAATTCCAAAACTGAACAGAGAGTACACCTTGAATATATCAGGGAGCTGTCAAAAACTATTTCACAATGGGATTTTGTGGGGTGGATTAGAAAATGGTGAGTACAGAAGAGACAATTCTTATTTCTCTTAGAAGGCTTAGAAAGGTGAGAAGAGCAGAACAGATTGGTTCATTAACGTGCTAACCTTAGAAATGCATGTTTCTTAATAGGGCTGCCTCTACTGGAGATCCCCTAAAAGAGCCAAGTTCAGAGCTTGAAAAAGAGGGAAAACTGTTTCCAGGCTAAGCACTTGTCAGTTCTCCCATGAGTTCATGTAGGGGAGTATCTCCCTTTATTCATTTCAGAGCAAGAAGACTCAGCAATGACTGGGAGCGTGGGCTGTGCTCTCAGTCCCACCTGACATGCTAGACCTTTACACAACGTAATGCAGGGTAGTCACTCCTGAGCCAAAGGCAAAATGGGGTGGGGGGCGGGGGCGGGGAAAGATGTCTTCTTCTCCAGAGACATGAAATGTTTTGGGGATTGTGAGCCTCTGCCATAAAGCCTACTCTTAAGGCAGATGATGGAAAGGCAAAGATTTCTTATTTTAAGGGCTTCTATTTGAGTGCAGTTTTTGCTGAGTTCCAAGCAATTCATATGAACGCAATTCCTCTGTGTGCACAGAACCTGGTCTACAGAGAACTTGAGATGGTGAGTGGTCGGGATTTACTTAGTCTAGAACAGGGCTTCTCAGACATTTTACCAGGAGTTAAAACTTATATTAAGGGAAAGGGACAAAGTGATCTGATTCATATGTATGTTTAGTGTTTTGTAATAAACCAGCATTTGTTCTCAGAGGTTTTATTAAAAAGTATAATTTTCAGGATGGGTGAACCTCAGCAATTTGAAAGACTACAAATCCTCTGAGTTAGCGTTCAAGTTCTGCAAATGCTATAAAACCAACTATTTTCATTAAACATCCCATGTATGAAGTTTGGTCTAATCTGAGAGGGATGGCAATCAATTGATTTTCACAGTATTCCGGAGTTTTGCTGAAATGCTTGCTGTGATTAATTTAAGGGACTTCAAAATTTCAAAATTTCAAAATTATTTCTCAAATTTCATAACTAATATCCAATTTTGATTTAACAATTGGTTCTATTACTTAACCAAAAATTTTTCTTGATATGGATGCCATGAACTGGAAGGGGATTACAATGGTCTGAATATATCCTCAAAATACATATATTGAAACATAATCACCAATTTGTTAGTATTAAGCGATGATAAGTATTAGGAGGCAATTAGCACCCTTATAAAAGAGGTGTGAGGGAGCTGTTGGTCCCTTCCTCACTTTTCCATGTGGAGACACAGCATTCATCCCCTCCAGAGGATACAGCGACAAGGTGCCCTCTTGAAATCAAAGACCAGGTCCTCATCAGACATAAAACCTTCTGGCACCTTGATCTTGGACTCTCCGGTCTCCAGAACTTGAGAAATAGATTTCTATTCTTTATTAGTTAGCCAGTCTTATGGTATTTTCCTACAGCAGCACAAACAAACTAAGATAAACTACAAAGGACATAATTGTTAAGACATTTTCCTGGAGAGAGGGACCAAGATGGCAGACTGGAAGTAGGCTCATGTGCTCAGCTCTTATGCTCTTACCAAGAGGAAACAAAAGGGCTAGTGAACAGTGACCCTGCAGGCTGATCATCTGAGAAACCACATCTTGATCCATGAAGGCAACAGGGGGACCCAGAGAACAGAGAGAAGAGAAGCTGGGCACCAGCCTATCTGTGTTCAGCGTGGTGCCAGGAGAACCTCTTCAACACAGGAAATGGTGAGTTAGTGAGAGCCTCCTGGGGGAATTCGTGCTGTCCACAGGAACCTGTACAAGACTGGAAATGGGAGAATACCCCTGCCCCTCAACCCCCACGACTCCACTCTGCTTCTAGACTGAGACAGAGAGCTACCTGGATATTTTGCAGGGACAAGTCCTGAGTCCAGGAAGACCCCTATAAGCCTTTGGCCCTTGAGCAGGCCAGCACCAATGCCACAGCCCCAGCAGAGGCTGCAGTCATAGTGCCTGGGGGCAGTAAGATTGCTTCATCCTCTTGCCGGATGGGGCTCAGTGCCAGCTTCTGGCTCAGTGGTCCTGCTTCTTTCTGAACTCAGCTAGTAGGTGCAGCCCCCTGTTTTACCAGGAAACACCCAGGCAGCAGGGCAGGTGGCCCTGCTCACCCCCACTGCTGGAAGCCAGGTGGGCAATGCCTGCTAGAGTTTCCAGCTCAGCAATCTCTCCTCTGTCTAAACTCAGCCAGTGGGCACAGCCTCCTTTTGTCCTGGGAAGCACCTGGATGGCAGGGCAGGTGACCCCACCCATACCTGCTGCTGGTAGCCAGAAGGGCAATGCCTGCTAGAGCTTCCAACTTAGTGGTCCCACTTCTATCTGAACTTATCCAGTGGGCACAGCCTCCTGTTATCCTGGGAAACACCCAGATGGCAGGGTGGGTGACTCTACCTACCCCCACCTCTCCTAGCTGGACAAGCCACATCTGCTAAAACTTTCAGCCCAGCAGCCCTGCATTTACCTGAATTTGCTAAAGGGCACAGCCTCCTGTTTCCCCAGAAACACCTGGATGGCAGGGCAGGCAACTTCAGTCACCCCTGCTTCTTGTAGCCAGATGGGACCCACCTGCTAAAGCTTCCTGCCCCGTAGTCCTACCACTGCCTGAGCTCTGTGTGCTGGCACAATCTTGTGTTTCTCTGGGAAGCACTTGGACAGAAGATTAGGGCTAACCCAACAAGGATACAGGTTATCTGCCAACTGCAGCCCCTGCCTGAGAGAGCCACATGGACCAGAACAGCCAATAAAAGAAACACGGGCACAAAGATAGTAATGGGAGAGGGCTCCTTTAAGACATAGGAGTGGAGTAGAATCGAAGCCAGACAACTAAACCTACCCTATACCACAACCTAACCTCCAAGGGCATCAAAAAATATAAAAACAAACAACAAAAAAAGCAAAGGACAGCACCAACTTCGAAGATTGAAGGAACGTCAGCATACACAGATGAGAGAAAACCAGTACAGGAACTCTGGCAACTAAAGAAGCCAGAGTGTCTTCTTACCTCCAAACAACTGCACTAGTCCCCAAGCAATGGTTCTTAACCAGGCTGGAATAACTGAAAGGTCAGAAATAGAATTCAGAATATGGATAGGAATGAAATCATCGACAGGAGAAAGTCAAAACCCAATCTGAAGAATCTAAGAAATACAATAAAACAATACTGGAGAAAAAAAGACAAAATGACCATTTTAAGAAAGAAGCAAACTGAATTGATAGAGATGAAAAACTCACTTTAAGAATTTCATAACACAACTGGAAGCATTAACAGCAGAATGGACCAAGCTGAGGAAAGAATCTCAGAGCTTAAAGACCGGTTCCCCAAAATAACTGAGTCAGAAAAAAATAAAGAAAAAACAAAGAAGAATGGGCAAAACTCCAAGAAATATGAGATTATTTAAAAAGCCCAAATATGTGACTCATCGGTATCCCTGAAAGAGGAGGAGAGAACGCAAGTTACTTGAAAAATGTATTTGAGGATATCCATCCATGAAAATTTACCTAACCTTGCTAGAGAGGCCAACATTCAAATCCAGAAAATGTAGAGAACCCTTGTGAGATACTATACAAGATGATCATTCACAAGATACCTAGTCTTCAGATTCTTCAAGGTTGAAATGAAAGAAAAAATATTAAAGGCAGCTAGAGAGAAGGGACAGGTCACTTACAAAGAGAACTCTATCAGGCTACCAGTGGAGGACCTTTCAGCAGAAACCCTACAAGCCAAAAGAGCCTGGGGGCTCTTTTCCTTAATATTCAGCATTATTAAGGAAAAGAAATTTCCACCAAGAATTTCATATACAGCCAAACTATGCTTCATAAGCAAAGAAGAAATAAGACCCTTTTCTAGACAAGAAAATGCTAAGGGAATTTGTTTCCACCGCACCTGCCTTACAAGTGATCCTTAAGGGAGTGCTATATATGGAAAGGAAAGATATTTTCTATATTTCCATTTTCATTATTGGCCACCACAAAACACACTTAAGTACCTATACCATTGACACTATAACGCAGCCAAACAACCAAATCTGCTTAATGACTAGCTAATAACATGATGACAAAATCAAACCTGCATATGTCAATATTAACCTTCAATGTAAATGGGCTAAATGACCCAATAAAAAGGCACAGAGTGGCAAGTGGAATAAAGATGTAAGACCCAACTGCATGCTGTTTACAAGAGACCCATCTCACATGCAGTAACACCCATAGGCTAAAAGTGAAGGGATGGAGAAAAATCTACCAAGCAAACAGAAAACAAAAAGGCTGAGGCTGCTATTCTAACTTCAGACAGACTTTAAACTGACAAAGATAAAAAAAGTCAAAGAAGGACATTACATAATGATAAAGGGTTCAACTCAACAAGACGACCTAACTATCCTAAATAAATATTCACTCACCACAGCAGCACCTAGATTTGTAAAACAAATTCTTAGGAACCTATGAAGAGACTAAGATAACCAGACAATAGTAGCAGGAGACTTCAACACCCCACAGACAGTATTAGATTGTTTGGGGCAGAAAATTAACAAAGATATTCAGAATCTGAAATTGACATTTGACCAAATGGGCCTAATAGACATCTACAGAACTCTTCACCCCAAAACAAAAGAATATACATTCTTCTCATTTGCACATGACATATACTGTGAAATTAACCACACAATTGGCCATAAAACAATCCTCAGCAAATTAAAAAAAAAAATGAAATTATACTAAACACACTCTCAGACAACAGTGCAATAAAAATAGAAATCAATAGGTAAGAAAATGGCTCAAAACCAGAGAATTACATGGAAATTAAACATGCTCCTGAATGACTTTTGGGTAAACAATTAAGGCAGAAATCAAGAAATTCTTTGAAACTAATGAGAATGAAGATACAACATACCAGAATTTATGGGACATGGCTAAAACACTGTTAAGAGGAAAGTTTACAGCACTACACACCAAAATAAGTTAGAAATATCTCAAATTAACAATCTGACATCACACCTAGAGGAACTAGAGAAACAAGAGCAAACCAACCTAAAAGCTAATAGAAGAAAAATAACCAAAATCAGAGCTGACCTGAATGAAAGTGAGATGTCAAAAACTATACAAAAGATTAATAAATTCAAGAGTTTGTTATTGAAAAAGTAAATAAGATTGATAGACTGCTAGCCAGACTGATAAAGTAAAAAAGAGACAGAAGCCAAATAAACACAGTCAGAAATGCCAAAGGGGATGTTACCAGCGACCCAAAAGAGATACAAAAACCCTCAAACTCCTATGAGGACCTCTACACACAAAAGCTAGAAAATCTAGAAGAAATAGATAAATTCCTGGAAACATATAACCTCCTAAGATGGAACCAGGAAGAAGTTAAGTCCTTGAACAGAATAATAATTAGTTTCAGAACTGAATCTGTAATAAAAAGCCTACCAATCAGAAAAGCCCAGGACCAGACAGATTCATAGCTGAATTGTTGTAAAAGAGCTGGTAACATTCCCACTGAAACTATTCCAAAAAAAAAAAAAAAAAAAAAAGAAAGAAAGAAAGAAAGAAAAGAAAGAAGAGGAAGGACTCCTCTCTTACTGAGGCCAGCATCATCCTGATACCAAAACCTGGCAGAGACACAACAAAAAAAGAAAACTTCAGGCCAATATTTTTGATGAACATAGATGCAAAAACCTTGAACAAAATACTAGTAAACTGAATTCAGCAGCACATCAGAAAGCTAATCCACTATGATCAAGTAGGCTTTACTTCTGGGATGCAAAGTTGGCTTAATATACATATGCAAATCAATATGTTATTTACCACATAAACAGAACTTAAAAACCACAGGATCATATCAATAGATGCAGAAAAGGCTTTCAATAAAATGCAACATCCTTTCATGTTAACAACCCTCAACAAAGAAAGCACTGAAGTAACTCAATAAGAGCTGTCTATGACAAACCCACAGCTAACATCATACTGAATGGACAAAAGTTAGAAGCATTCCCTTTGAGAAGTGGAATAAGACAAGGATGGCCACTCTCATCACTCTTACTCAACATAGTACTGGAAGTCCTACCCAAAGAAATCAGGCAAGAGAAAGAAAAAGCATCCAGATAAAAAGAGAGGAGGAAGTCAAACTATCTCTATTTGCAGATAATATTATTCTATTCTTAGAAAACCCTATTGTCTCCGCCCAAAAGCTCCTAGATCCGATAAACTACTTCAGCAAAGCGTCAGGATGTAAAATCAATGCACGAAAACCAGTAGCATTTCTACACATCAACTACAGTTAAGCAGAGAGCCCAATCAAGAATGCAATCCCATTTATGATAGAAGAAGAGTTAATACCTAGGAATACAGCTAATCAGGGAGGTAAAAGACCTCTACAATGAGAAATACAAAACACTATTCAAAGAAATTGGAGAAAACACAAACAAATGGAAAAACATTCCATGCTCATGAATACGAAGAAACAATATTTTTTAAATGACATACTGCCCAAAGCAATTTACAGATTTAATGCTGTTCCTATCCTACTACCAATGACATTCTTCACAGAATTAGAAAAAAACTATTTAAAAACTCATATGGAATCAAAAAGAGCTCAAATAGCCAAGGCAATCCTAAGCAAAAAGAACAAAGCTGGAGGCATCATGTTACCTGACTTTGAACCATATTACAGGACTACAGAAACTAAAACAGCATGGTGCTGGTACAAAAACAGACATATAGACCAAGGGAAAAGAATAGAAAGCCCAGAAATAGAGCCACACATCTACAACCATCTGATCTTCAACAAAGTCAACAAAACCAACAATGGGGAAAGTACTCCCTATTCAACAAATGGTGCTGGGATAACTGGCTAGCCTTATGCAGAGGATTGAAACTGCACCCCTTCCTTACACCACATAAAAAAATCAACTGAAGACAGATTAAAGACTTACATGTAAAACATAAAACTACAAAAACTCCAGAAGATAACCCAGGAAATATCTCTCCGTGCAGAGGACTTGGAAAAGAATATATGACAAAGATGCCAACTGCAATTGCAACAAAACAAAACAAAATTTGCCACAAAAACAAAAATTGATAAATGGGGCCTAATTAAACCAAAAAGCCTCTGCACAGCAAAAGAAACTATCAACAGAGAAAAGAGCCCACGGAATGGGACAAAATATCTGTGAACTGTGTATCTAACAGAGGTCTAATATCCAGAATCTATAGGGAACTTAAACAAATTTACAAGTAAAAAACAACCCCATTAAAAGTGGGCAAAGGGCATGAACAGACACTTGTAAAAGAAGACATACCTACAGCCAACAAGCATATGAAAAAACTCTCATCACTAATCATTAGAGAAATGGAAATCAAAACCACAATGAGACACCATCTCACACCCGTTGAGAGGGGGAAGGCTATTATTAAAAAGTCGAAAAATAACAGATGCTGGTGAGGTTGTGAAGAAAAGGGAATGCTTAAACTATGCTGGTGGGAATATAAATTAGTTCAACCATTATGGAAGACAGTGTGGTGATTCCTCAAAGATCTAGAAGCAGAAATAACATTCAACCCAGCAATCCCATTGCTGGGTACATACCAAAAGGAATTCAAATCTTTCCACCATAAAGACACATGCAAGCAAATGTTCATTACAGCACTATTCACAGTAGCAAAGCTATAGAATCAACCTAAATGCCCATTAATGGTAGACTGGATAAGGAAAATGTGGTATGTATATACTATGGAATATTATATAGCCATAAAAAATAATGAGATCATATCCTTGGTAGGAATGTAGATGGAGCTGGAGGGTATAATCCTAAATGAACTAATGCAGGAACAGAAAACCAAATACTGCATGTTCTCACTTATAAGTGGGAGCTAAATGATGAGAACACGTGAACACAAAGAGGGGATCAACAGACACTGAGACCCACTTGAGGATAGAGGGTAAAGAGGGAAAGGATCAAAAGTCTACCTCTTAAGTACTATGCTGGTTACCTGGGTGGTGAAGTAATCTGTATGTCAAACTCCTGTGACACATAATTTTCCTATATGACAAACCTGCACATGGACCCATGAACCTAGTTTTTTAGAAAATTTCCTTCATATAGGCTAAATATAAAGATGGCTACCTTGTAAGACTCACCTGTGCAGATTGTGTTCTGATGTAATTGGTCTGGGAATAATCTTAGCCACCTTTATAGTTTAGCAGTGACTCAGATGATTTTAATGTGCAGCAGTTGAAATCACTGGCCTAATATATTATTTCACCAAAGAAGTAGTTCTTTGTATTTTTATACATTTGCTGAGCATTTACTGTACCTGCTCCATGCCTGGTAGAGCTACGCTTGGGAGATAAAAAGATTAATAAGACTTACTTTTTGCCCTAGAGGACCTCATAATCTATTAGCAGTAATTTCAAAATTCCAGTTTTTGTTCCTGTTGTTCAGTCAGAAGCACGACCTTTGTGTTATGGAATCTTTGGCTGTTTGAGTTTGCTTTTAGTTAATGGCCTGTGTGTGAAAGTTAAGCATATTCACCTGTTTTATTGAATGGCCATGGGAAAGAGTTTATACTTATGTTTGTGGTGAAAAAAAGAAAAGGCATTCATCTTAGCTTTCTGCTTCCTATGATGACCCGAGGCTTTCATTTTAGTAAGGAATTCCTCTCTTGGCAGAGAAAGAAAACAGATGGTGTATCTTTAAGTACATAATGTATGCTTCCTCCACATTATTTTTGGAGAGCATAAAGTATGATTAAGGGAAGTGAACTCATGCTGTGAAAAACAGGCACTGCAGTTGAGGTGCCTGCGATAGCTTCCATATGCACCAAGGTGATGGGTTTTCCTGATCCCCACTGCTATCTTCATCCTGTAGGATTTGTAAGAAGAACCGTTGCTCAAAAAGAGACCATATGATTCTAGTCAGTGAGTGACCAGTTTGTATGACACGCAAGGGCTCTCCAAGAACACTGTAATTACAGATTAGATATCACTAACATAGTTTTAGGTAATTCTGGCAAACTCATTAGCAAAGTCTTATACAATATAAGCTACTTAGGAAGTAATCCTCACATTCTTTCTCATGCTCACTCTGAACACAAGGTTATTATTGTTCCATATGTTGACTTAAAAATACCTTTTCACAGAATATAGAGGAGAGCATCTTTAGAGCATATGTAACAATTATAATCAATCTTTTCCAAAACGTATCTGAATTTTCAGGAAAATACCATATGTGATTTCAACAAATACATAGTCAGTACAATATGAGGTGGGATTCTTTGGCACCTAAGAAGAAAAAAGCTGAGATTTGCATAAACAATAATGACTGTTTTTGGCTCACAAGATTGGAGAGTCGGAAGAGTGGCCTCTAAGTTAGACCTAATCTAATGGTCTTGGCCTGTTTCTCTGTGCTTCTCTGGATGGCATCTTCCTCCCTGTACTGATGTTAGTCTCAAGCTTAGCACGAAGGCTGCAGCATTTCCAGTTTATACTTGTGCATTTGGATGTTCAGGGCATGAGACAAAGACTAACTTCTGGAAAATCTCTCAGACAAGTGAGAAAAAACATTCCCAACAGATGTCTCCTCACCTCCTGCCTGACCGCTACTCCTTCCCCTTAGACCACATGGAATTCCGTGAACTTTTGTTTCAGAGACTGAAAACTGAAGTTCATTCTCAACCCTTTGTCACTGCATTAAGAAAAGATTTATTGCATTTATGGGCTACTTTTCACAGAGGAAATAGTGTACCTGTCAATTGATGAATGCCTAGCCAGCTTTTCAGGCAGGCACACAAGCTCCCTGAAGAATGATCTTCCTGCTTTTTCTGCCTGGTGTTCCCGGGTCTCACCTCCAGAAGGCTACAGCAGAAAAGAAAGCAGAGTCTAGTTTTGCTGATCAAGAAACAACTAACCTTTATGTCTCTATCCAGTTTCATTATTTGTATCAGATTTAGAGTTTTTATAGAACAAGGGAGTGTCCACGGGCTGTTGGTTTATCTGAGCTTATGATGACTTTGCCTCTCTGATCAGGAAGCTGGGGTTTTGGAAAGTTAACTCTTAGCTGAGTTTTAAGAGTAGTAAAAATCTTCCACCTGTTAAGCCTTGATTACCATTATGAACAAATATGTACACCTAGGGATGTGCCAGCAGATAGTATGGCATATAAGTGACATGCTTCATCTCAGACAGTAGCCTTTTTCCCATCTGTGCTCCTTGAACTGCCCCCACTGGCCCTATCACACGGGTTCACTGAATAAGGACATGGGGTCAGAAATGCCATCATAGATGTCAGACCAGAAAGGCTACAGATTCTGTGTGTTCAAATGCATCTGCTAAGTGCTTATCATGGGCCTCTCACAACACTGCAAAGTGTTATGAAGAATACGGGTTTTTTTGTTTTTTACTTTTTTGAGATGGAGTCTTGCTCTGTCACCCATGCTGGGGTGCAGTGGTGCAATCTTGGCTTACTGCAACCTCTGCCTCCCAGGTTCAAGAGATTTTCCTGCCTCAGCCTCCTGAGTAGCTGGGATTACAGGCGCGTGCCACTACGCCTAGCTAATTTTTGTATTTTTAGTAAAGACGGGGTTTCACCATGTTGGTCAGGCTGGTCTCGAACTCCTGACCTCGTGATCCACCCACCTCGGAGCTCCCGAAGTGCTGGGATTTCATGCATGAGCCACCGCACCCAACCTAGAATATGTTTTCAAAAGCAATTTAGAGGACATTGTATATCTAAGGAAAAGTTATGATTTTTGAAATATATTCTTTGAAATTGAGGTATAATTTACTTAGTGAAATGCACAATAAACATGCAATATATTTATATATAGAGTGATATGCACATTATTGTGATTTGACACTTTGACAAATGCATACATGTGTCAATGACACCTCAAACAAGATATGAAACAATTCTATCAACTGAGAAAGTTCCCTCAAGCCTCCTTCCAGTCCATCCCTGTTACATAGGCAACTACTCTTCTTATTTCTATGAACATAAAGGAGACTCATCTATTCCTCGATTTCAGAAAGAATGGAATTTTACAGCACACACTCTTACGTCTGACTTCTTTCACCCAGCATAATGGTTTTGAGATTAATCTGTAACATCGCATGCATCAGTACTTTGTTTTGTATTATGGAATAATATTCCGTGGTATGATTTTACCATGATGTGTTTAAGCATTCTCCTGCTAGTGGGCATTTGGGTAGGTTAAATTTTTGTTAGGGAACATCGGACTATTGCCCCCGGGTACTGAAACTGCCATGTGTCTCTCTTGCCTAAGAAGAAGTCATCCTCTGAAATTTATTAAGACTTCCTTTAATCCCCACTCTTTAATAGCACTATACATAACTGATATTTTTTCCCCATCCTGTTGTTTCGTGTTGCTACCATGGAAGTACAAGTCTTCGATCTGACAAAGTTCCTGAAAAAGAAGAGAAGGCTATATATGTCCACATTACAGTGGTGTAGAAAGCTTAACCCTAGAACATAAACATTTTCCTAGGAGGTGCCGCTGGACTTGAAGTGCTTTATATTATTCTTGGCCAACCTTTTGCACATTTTATTACAACACACTGAATAATTCACAATTGGGGAAATGTATTTTGGGAGCATTTTAGTGTCCCAGATTCCCCGATTGGGAGAGTAAAATGAATCTTTTAAAAAAAAGCCTCTCTGGATAGGGGCTAAAACTTTTCTAAAGAGGTTAAGAGATCTCACAGGTAAACTTTGAGCATCACGATTCTCTGGCAGTGGGAGCATGAGGTAGATTTCAAGACAGAGAAGCAATGCTCATGGTAATGGGGCGGGGGTGAATGTAAGCAGGTGTCTAATCAAATGCTTAAGTGTCCTCCCTCCAATCTTTTCATTTATTCAAGTCTTGCAATGAATTATATAAACTGCACACGTTTTTGGGTAAGTGGTACTTGGGATCTTTGGGATAGTGGAAATGATCTAAGAAACAAGGACACTGAGAAACATGAGTGACAGTTCGTGGGTGAGACTGAGGTAAAGGTGCAGAGAAGCCCACCATATGAAACAGGCAGCCAGCAAAGCAGGAGGAAAAAGTGAGATGATTCCCTTCCCCCAGATATATGACAAGGAAAGTGACACTGGGGAGATGGAAATGCTAATATTGAGGTTAATATATACTAGGGGAGCTTATTTCAAAAACTTTTGATTTTTTTGGGAAGAAAAAGTAAACTCACCAGAACACCTGTAGTCTTAACTATAATTATCCACTCTTTAATCCTCAAGAGTGAAATGTATTTTATACTTTTTTTTTTGAGATGGAATCTCGCTCTGTCACCCAGGCTAGAGTGCAGTGGCCCGATCTCAGCCACTGCAACCTCCACCTCCTGGGTTCAAGCGATTCTCCTGCCTCAGCCTCCCAAGTAGCTGGGACTACAGGCATGTGCCACCACGCCCAGCTAATTTTTGTATTTTTAGTAGAGACAGGGTTTCACCATGTTGGCCAGGATGGCCTCTATCTCTTGACCTTGTGATCCACCCACCTTGGCCTCCCTAAGTATACCTTTTTTAAAAGTTAAAGGAAAAAAAAAAAACAAAACTGCTTTTGAGGTAGAGAAAAGATTTAAGAAATATTGACTCCAGGCCCTAGGTTTTGAAAGAGGAGAGAGAGATCGAGGGAAGTGGGGACAGTGGATGGCCTATCTAAAGACACTTTTCGCTGTATTGCCAGCGCCTGGTCTGATACCAAGTACAGGGTACCTGTGAGTAAATACATGCATGACTTGCCCACAGTCACATAGTGAGAAACAGAATTCATTTTCTGCTGATTCTGTTGAAGACGTAGTTTTCGTTTCTGTATAACTGATCTAACCTTTCTCATGTTCCTCTGAGTCCTGACTGGGGTGGGTTTGGGGCAGAGGGAGGGGCAGTGGTGGTGAGAAGCACTAACTTAGTCAATGTATTTCAACTTCTTCTGGTTAAACCGTGTCATTAAGATAACACAGTCTCCCTTCAGATAATTACTCAGCCTTTTACATTTCCTCCTCTTTCCATTGCTCTACCAATGATGACCTGAGGGCGCATGATGGGGCTCAACTGACCTCCTGGGAGTGATGAGAATGATGTCCTTGCTCCAGTGCATGGGGCCCCGTGCTGTCTTCTGGGCCTGCTAGTTTCCAATATGTTGTCCCTTATCTGCCCCATCACGATATTCTTCTGTCGTCTGCTGCTGTGCACATCCCATGTGGAACAGGGGCCAGGACTGCTTTATGTTATATTATATTATATTATATTTGTCCTGCCCCCATGCTCTGGATTTAATATACTGTAGTGGCTATAGAGACTCACACAACATACAGCTCTGATGAACCAATATCAGCAATGTGGCTTCTATTACACAAACCGCTCACATCAGCCAAAACATATGAAGGCCAAGATTTTTCATAGTCACTTGGCACTGTCCCGCTCTCTTTGTCATCCACAATTCACAGGGCTAATTGGACCCTGGAAGGGACAGTGACTATGAGACTCTGAAGGAAGTACTATGACTAGAATACTCAGACCCTTTCTAGTCCCCACCCCTTCCCAGGATTTTGGCCCAGAGACACCCATGAGGACATGAGACCCCTTTCTTTGCCTCATCTGTTTTTTAAATGAAAGGTCTCATATTTATTACTGAACCCAGCCAACCAACATATTCATAACAGATTCAGACTGAAAACATATACTCCCAATAAAACATGTCCAACTCTTCAGATAGTGGTATTTTCAGCTTGATATGGTAACGTGATTGTGAACTTCAGATAGCATAAATACGTGTGTCATTTCAGTGCAGTTCCTTATAGACCCAGCTTGGTTCTTCTCTAAAGTCTCCTTCTGGAGTTGTACCTGATTTTATTACCAGTTTTTGTCCGAATCCACTGGGGAATGGGATGATTTTGCTTGTTTCTTGGCCAGGAATCTCTTAATCCAGAAAGTCTTGTGAGAAGACATGGCGAGAAGCGGAGTCAAGCGCACACCACAATGGTGGAGGAGGAAGAGAGGGTGTCTCTGTTTTTTATACATTCAGTGATCAGCAGGGTCAGATTCTCTACCTGTTTCTTCCAGTCTATTGAGAGATGCTCTTTTTCCTCAGGGTGGAGGCCTCATGTTCTCTCCTTTATAGGTGAACAATTTGAGTGCTTCAGACTAGTTCACATGAAACCAAGGGGCAGCCAGAGACTAGGGATGTGCTCCCATTAAATGCAATAGTTGAATAGTTTTCAAAATATTATCATTACAAAATAGTCACGCTTTTCCTCTTCATAGAGGAAGACAAACACTACTATGTTTATTTCCCACTTAAATCCCATTGGTTTAAAAAAAATCCTTAAGAAAAACGTTTTCAAATACTCTGAATCAGACTCAAGCTCAAATCAGATACACTTGTAGTTACAAGGGGCTGAGGTTTCTCTGTCTTTGTTTTAGGTTGTTGCTAGATAATACAAACAAAACATGCTAATAAGATTGACTTTATGGAAGGTCCCAGGAATATTCAGTGGGCTTTAGTGCAATGCCTAAGTAGCTGTTCTCAAAGCTAACGTTTTGTGAGTCTGCGCTTCAGCTGTAAACTAATTCCTTTATTTCTTTCATATGTTAGCAAGCGGTTCCATGAATGCTAACCATTCAAATAGATGGGCGATCTTTCCAAATGGTGACAGCATCCCCAGGGACACCACCACAGGGAAGGTTATTGATGGGAATGATTAGAGATTACTCATGCCAGCTTCAGAGAGGCCTACCAGCTGCTAACAGCAGTAAACCATTAGTTTTAAGTATTATGGTTGATTTTAAATCTGAGATCCTTTTCATGTGATGTAAACTCCTGCAAAAGGAGCCTGCCTTGTTTCATTAATTCTAACCTGCCAAAAAGGAATATATGCAGAGATAAAAACCAGACATATAGGTACTAGAAAAAAAGTGTTTCTATGTCTAATTTCAGTTTAAACTATTGACTTAATGACTAATTTCCAAAGTATTGACAGACCAATGTACTCATGACCCTAATATTGAGGCATATGTGTTAAATCTCCAAGGTTAAAAAAGTGACAGTCCCTCCAAATTAGAGTCAACTCAGTGATGGTTATTTTACATTAATAGTTAATCACTGTTGCTGCTCTAAGCCAATGGTTTCCACCTTGGCTATATATGGGAATCATCTGGGAGGCTTTTAAAAAATATAGATGCCTGGTTCTACTCCAAGACATGCTGATTTAATTGTCCTAGGGTGTGCCCTAAGCAGCAGGGATTGTAAAAGTTCTCCAGGTGATTCTCATTTGCAGCCGTGGTTGAGAATTGCTGCTCTAAGCAGCAACAGGACAAGGGCTTGAATGGTGGGGTGTAGGACATGAGGGAAAAGATGCTCGGTTGTCAAACGTCTGACCTGTTGCAGAACAAAAGGATGTAGTCTCAGTCCTAAGCAGGGTAACCCAGCCACCCGGTTTGCCCTGGACCATCCTGGTTTTAACACTCAAAGTCCCATGTCCTGGGCAGAATGGGATGGCTGGCCTCCCTAGTCATAAGGTCTGCAAAGAGAGGAGGGAGACAACTTTGGTCCAGAAACAAATAGTGTTAACTGGTGGAAACAAACAATGATCTGTTGACAGGAGGGGTCCAGAGCTAATCTGGTATGGACCAGCCAATATCAACGTCAGACGGGTCAAAGCCAAAGGGAAAGCCTTGGCAGCAAGGCTTGTTGACAATCCCAGCTCTTGTTAGCACATGTCTTAGCCTTGAATCCAACATAGCAGTCCCAGCTGTTCTGAGAAATGTCAGAGTGGAATCAGGTCCATCTGCCTCCCCAGGGTTATCACTTGTTGCCGTCTCTTTGAACCCACCTCTCCAGGCTGACTAATCTTCCTGAAGAATCCCACTCCCTCCTAGCCCCAGTGATGCCGTTCCATTGCCCTCAGTTAGGCTTGCTCAGTGCTATGCTGTTGCTGCTTCTTCCCACTCTCCATTGTCTAGGGAATAAGCCCTCTTCTTTAAAGATTTCCCAACCACTTTTATTCATTACTGACACCCCCCAGCAGACTTAAGACTTTTTGGAACTGCCACTATGAAATTTTAGTAACACAGGTGTGCTTTATATTGGCTTATGTAATGCAGCCCTTTGGAGAGCCACAAGCTATTAAAATGCAATTATGGTTTTTTGCTGCCACATCCACCCATGAAACAATCTTCACCCTCTTGTGGGGCTATACCACCCCCATGGAGAATGCAGGAACTAGTGTCATTCTCCCATTGAGTTTTCTACCTCCTTTTTATCTTATTCCCACTGTACCCTATAGAGACTTCTAGCATAACATCTATAATATTTAGTAACTCATAGTTCAAATTACTGACCCCATTTTTAAGGGTAGAGACCAGTTCTAATTATGTATATGGGGCATATATTTGTCTTTTAGACACTGGTAAATGCCAATCATGTTAGGTCCTCAAGAAACATTTGGTTGGAACAATGATTGTGTGGCCCACATTTTTCCAGTCTTCACTATATGTAATAAGACTCTCCACTTCCACATACCCCTAATGCAAGTCTGCTGGACTTTGTGTCCTTCCTATCAGGGCAGCCCCCAGGAAATATCTGACATTTGCTTAGAAACAAGTTTTTCTGGGTGTGCACAGTGGCTCAGGCCCGTCATCTAGGATTTTGGGAGGCCAAGGCGGGCAGATCGCTTCAGCCCAGGAGTTCGAGACCAGCCTGGCCAACATGGTGAGGCCCTGTTTCTACTAAAAATACAAAAATTAGCTGGGCAGGGTGGCAGGTGCCGGTAATGCCAGCTACTTCGGAAGCTGAGGCTTAAGAATTGCTTGAACCCAGGAGGCAGAGGTTGCAGTGGGCTGAGATTGCGCCACTGCACTCCAGTCTGGGCGACAGAGTGATACTTTGTCTAAAACAAAGAAACAAACAAGTTTTCCAACTTCAACTAACTCTAGACCTCCTGGATGTTTATCTCAGTTGCATGGTTTTCTGTGGCATGTTTTCTAAACTGCAGTAGTGTCATTTACAACTCCATAGAAGTGTCAACTTCATCTCTCCAAATTTCCTTTAAGAAAAGCAGCAGAACAGATATTTTGGTTTTATAAATCCATAGCCAGTAACCACCCTTTGTGCTGGGGCTACCGTGTGCTGGCCAATGCGTTCCTGCCACCCCAATCTCCATGCCCATTAATATAGGAAGGTTATAGGTTGTAGGGAAAGGGGGGCAAATGTAAATAGCAGTGCTATTACCTTATGATAGATTGAGTTCAAGGCCCAGAACACTTCCTTGTTCTGAAGACACTTGCTATTGGATTTAAGGCCCACATTGATAACCTAGGACAATAACTATCTCAAGATCCTTAATCTGCAAGAGCCTTGCAGACCATTTTCCAAATAAAGTCACATTTATAAGTTCCACAAATGAGGACTTGAACATATACTTTTTGATGGCCATTATTCAACCTATGACAGGAATCAAAGCCAAGTTTTTAAGAGTAGAAAAAGCTGTATCGACAGGGCAAAATTTTAGATGCTTGGATAGTCCAGCTTCTGCAATAAAGTGAGAGAAACCAGTTTTTGTGCCCAGCCTCCATTATTAACCTCAGTAGGGAAGGCAACAGGTTCAAGAGGTAGAAGAAGAGACCCAGAGCCAGGAAGTGGACATGGGGTTTTACTAGGGGCTTACATACAGGGGAGAGGGTCCAGGGTGGCAGGCTGGACCGGAGAACCACCCTACTTACAGAAATGACCCCGTGGCAGTAGGCTGGACAACATATCCACAGTCCTATGGTCCAGTGACGTGAGCTGAACAAGATAAACGCACAGCCCCCATAGTATCGGGTTGGGGAGGAAAACTGCAACTGCTTGCAAGCAGCCTGCAGCTTATATAGCATTTTCACTTAACATCCTCCCCTTAACGACCTCCACCGGGCAACATTCATTTAATCCAAAACTCAGGGCCTTAATGCGTTGTATAGCCCGTGTTCCATTGGTTGGGCCTGGAGCTTAATGTTACTCATAGACAAGAAATGAAGCTCTGGGTTGGCCACTCCCACATCCCCTAGCTCAGAACACACATTCAGGTGCATCTGCCATCGGGGTCATCCTAAGGTTATGCTGGCGTTATTGCTATCAGGTATGTTTACCCTACAACAGCACGAATGACAAGGACATTGTGAACAATGTGACTCACCTGAGAATCTTCAAGGATCATGGGAACATGCTGGGTGTGTGTAGGAGGGAGGGGGAAGCATGGTGCATATGTCAATCACGGTCTCAGCAGGAAACTGATGGTGCATTCAAAAGCATGACTAGAGAGTGTCCAGTGAAGCAACTTTTTGCAGAGGCGTAGGCAGGAATAAAGTGCTAGCACAGGGTTTGACTGTAGACTGTCAATGAATGAGTCACAGTTTTACACTCCCCAGTCTTATCTTATTGGCAGATGATCTCACCCAGTGTGGGGAGAAAACCAAGTTAGGCAAGAGCACAACAAGCTCTATCAGTGAGGCCTAACTCGAGATGCCTGGATAGCCCAGCTATCAGCCAGTCAACAAGGGATAATGAGGCACCCCAGGGCTATCAACAGAAAAAAGCTGTTACTAAACTAGGGCTACAGGTCCAAGGGGAAGGAGGTGCCATCCCTAAGGCTAAACAGAATCAGATGAGCATAATTAGAGGAACAGAGGACTGAGTGACTCAGGAAAAGCCTAAGGGGATTAAGAACCTTCACACACACACACACACACACACACACACACACACACACACACACACACACACACACGCCCCTCTCTCTCTCCTTTCTCCCCCTCTTCTCCCTTTCCTCTCTCCCTACTCCTTTCTCTCCTCTCTCTTCTCTCTCTCCTCTCTCCCTCTCTTTCTGTCTCCTCTCTTTCTCACCCCCTCTCTCCTCTCTCTCTTACCCCTTCCCTGCTCTCTTTCTCTCTTTCCCCACCCACCCTATCTCTCTCTCCTCCTGTCCTCCAATACCCCATAGGTACTTCCTTATGGCTGCTGTTAGCTAAAATCTAGAGAGTAGAGGGTGAGTAGCCCTCCTGGGGGCACAGAGCAGGGCAGAGAACAGATTGTGAGGGAACTTGGAGAACAACAAACCTGAGGGCAAGGTGTGATTCTAGGAAATCTGTCCAAGTAGACTGCTCCAGATTGCTTTGGTTTGAATACTAAAGGTTACGTGACATATTTGCAGTCACAGTTGGTGAGATCTGGAGATTGAAGTTAAATTGTTTTAATGGATTCTCATCCAGGATCCAGGAGGTGAGAGATCACACCTGCCTTGCTCATTTCAACACCCCATTCCTGGGCACAGTTCCAGAATACAGTGGACACTGAAAACAACATTGACTGAATGAATCAAGTCCATCCTTGCAGATTTGTGCTTTGGGAAAAGATGAGGCTCTTTGTGCCTGACTCCTTCCATTGAGAAGAGTTTGCTCACCCTCTAATATAAATTTACCTTGGGCTGTTCCTACTCCCTGGGCCTCCTGACATATAAAGACAAGCCTATAGCCTAGGCTCAAGCTGAGATACACAAAGACAATAAATTATCTCATGGGCCACATTCCCAGGAGGAGTTCAGGATTAGAGCTAGTAGCTGACTGAGCTGAGGTTCAGGGCTGGGTTTCAGCCCTAAGATGAAAGCAGGGATTCAGGGGCCTGTGTGTAAAAGGCTGGTCAAGTTGAGACCAGAAAGGAATTAGAAGTCTTTGCTCGCACAGATGCCCTTTTCACTTAACATTACTTTACTGAGCATCAGTCTTGCACCAGATACCATGTCAAATGCCTGGGATGTAAAACCAAGTAAAACACATTATTTCCCTTTCATTGCTTACATTGTTGTTAGGGAGGCAGGGAAAAGTTTATGAATACATTTTGCAATGAGCTCTTTTGTAGAGGCCAAAGATGCCTTAGACAGGAGGGAATGCTAACCACTGCCAGGGTCGAAGTGTGAAAGGACAGGAAAGCTTAACAAATGCAGTGATCCCTGAGGTCTGTCTCAGAGCATGAGTGCAAGTTTTCCAAGACAGGGATGGGGAAGTCAGCTGGACAGAGAATAGCACATGGACAGGCACAGTGGTGAAGAAGAGGATGTTGCTTTCAGAAAACTAGATGTCTTAGTTTGAGCTACTGTAGACTGGGTGGCTTAAACACAAACATTTATTTTTCACAGTTCTGGAGACTGGAAATCTGAGATCAGGGTACCGGTGTGGTCGGGTTCTGGTGAGGTCCTTCTTCTTAGTTTACACATGGCCATCTTCTTGCTGTGTCCTCTTGTGGTAAACAGTATCTCTTCTTATAAGGGCACTAATCCCACTCATGAGAGATTTGTTTTTATGACCTAATCACCTCCCAAAGGTCACAACTCCAAATACCATTACATTGGGGGGGGATAAGAGTTTCAACGTATGAATTTGGGGGGATGCAAACATTTAGTTCATAGGACTATAAGAACTTCTGTATAGGCCAAAGGGGCTAATCAGGGTTCTTGAATGCCACACACAGGAGCCTGGACTTTGTTGCACATGTAGAGTTTGGCTGAAGCAAGGAGAAGGTGAGGCCATGGTATTCTGCAGGCTCCAACATGCTCAGGCTGGAAGTGCCTACAGGCCTCAGCTGATACCAGCTTCTCCATGTGCTATACAATAATAACCTAGTGTTTCTCATAGTGGGCATACAGCCCAAGAGTCCAGTCTCTTGTGGGGACATTAGCCATGACCAGAACTGATCTTTTTATATCCCTCTAATCAAAATCACTTATATGGTTTGCAAGGTGATAAGAGTCTCTCCCACTATTTAGCTGTTTAGATTCACGCCATTCAGAGGCATGCTCTAGGAGAGCTATAGGCTAATAAGGAGGATACCAGGCCAAGGTGCTGGGGAAAATCTCCTTTCGCATTTCAAACGCTTATAAAAGCCGAATTTAAAAACAAATTTCAGTGTATAGAGATGTTTAACCCTCTGCCTCCCACCAAGAAGGCAATACCCAAAAACAAAATAAGGATAAGTAACTCAAAGCCAATGGTGCATGGGACTTGAAGCCACTCGGCAGGCTCATGGGGGAACTAGGGAATGGCATAGGCTCCAACGGCTGGGGGCTAAGGTCCCACTGCTGCCCACAGAAGGGATTCCTGTCCTTGGCAAATGAAGCTACTGTCTTCCAAGGACCAGTGCGGAAAAAAAGTTGGCCTGGCCACTTTCATAAGTAGGTGTGAGTTCTGAATCCAGGATTCTAATGTGATATGGTGACACCAAGCCAAAAAAAAATTAGGCTGGGTGTGGTGGTTCACGCCTGTAATCCCAGCACTTTGGGAGGCCAAGGCAGGTGGATGAAGAGGTCAGGAGATCGAGACCAGCCTGGCCAACATGGTGAAACCCTGTCTCTACTAAAAATACAAAAATTAGCCAGGCATGGTGGCGCATGCCGGTAATCCCAGCTACTCAGGAGGCTGAGGTAGGAGAATCGCTTGAACCTGGGTTGCAGAGGTTGCAGTGAGCCGACATCGCACCACTGCACTCCAGCCTGGGCAACATGAGCAAAACTCTGTCGCCAAAAAAAAAAAAAAAAAAAAATTGCAACAAAAGCTCCTGATTTAATGAAACCCATAGGTTCCTCCAGCTCAGGCAAATTCAAAACTGCCTGCCAGTGACTCTGACACAACTCCCGTTCAATAGTCTAATATGACAGGTGAGATTTGAAGATCAATAACTATCAACTTAGAATCACAAAACCTGCAACAAAATGAGGAAAATAATGACACCTTTAGACAATAAGATGCAATCTCTCAAAGAAGAAAATTTAACATAGAAGACTGGCACACAAAAATAAAAAGAACAAATTGTTGTTAACTGTAAACTAGCATTGATTGACTATAAAAACTAAAATGACTTTTGAGAGAGGTAAACAGGTGAGGCTAAAATAATGGTGAACAATTACATGGAAAATGGGTAAGATCTGAATCTTATATGTTGCTGCAAGAGAAATACTAGATGCAAAATAACAGACAGTTGAAAATATAGTTGTAGGAAAGTATGTATTATACAAGCACTAATAAAAATCTGATATAGTAATAATATTAGAGAAAATCTATTCAGGATAAAGAGCATCAAGAGATATAAACAGGAATACTCTATAAAAGTGATGCTTATCCCCAGAGATACATAGAAAATGCGAAATTGCATGCCCAAAAATACAGAAATGGGTATTGAAATGAAAGCCTTACAGAATTAAAAGGTGAAATTGACAGATCTGCAGTAAAGAACATTTCAATTCACACCTCTCAGAAGCTGACAGATGAAATACACAAAAAATTAGTAGGATAGTAAAAAATTTGAATGACACTTTTAACAACTGTGTTCTATATGTCTGTGTGTGTGTGTGTGTTTGTGCACATGTATATAATTGTAGTATCTATGAATACATATGTATGTATATGTAATATGTTATATATATTATATATACCACACACATATATTAATATATAAATATACTTTACCTAACTATACGTATCTATACATAACCATTACACATGCACAGTTTATATACATACATATACATCTTAACCAACAAATAGAAACCATTATATTCAAGTCCATATGTAACTTTTAAAATAAATATTGACCACATGAGACCATAAAAAAATTTGATAAACTGAAAGTATTAATATCATACACATTATATACTCTGATCACAATTCTGTTAAATTAAAAATGAACAATAAATTCATAGTTAAAATACTTTACAAAAAGACATTTAGAATAAACACATATCCATACACACACGAATCCCAAGGGAAATACTCTAGAAATGTGTAAGAAAATATGAAAGTCGAAATAGTTTTAAAATAGAAAATTTCTTAAGACAGAAACAACCCAAGACACAAATGAAAAGGTAAATAAGTTAAATCAAATGAAAAGCATCCCTATCAAAACAAAAACAAAGGAAAGAAGAGAAAGAAAGAAGTACATTATAATCAAATTTAAAAGACGAGGCTGGGAGAATGTATTTACAACACATGTAGCAGATTTAAGATCGTATCCACGCTATAGAAAGAATTTTTGTACAACCATCAGAAAAGGAGAAAGGGACTGGGCACAGTGGCTCATGCCTGTAATCCCAGGCATTACTCCCATTTTGGGAGGCTGACGCTGGTGGATTACCTGAGGTCAGGAGTTCGAGACAAGCCTGGCCAAGATGGTGAAACCCTGTCTCTACTCAAAATACAAAAATTAGCTGGATGTGATGGTGCATGCCTGTAATCCCAGCAACTTGGGAGGCTGAGGCAGGAGAATTGTTTGAACTCTGGAGGTGGAGGTTGTAGGGAACTGAGATCTTGCCACTGTACTCCAGCCTGGGCGACAGAGCAAGACTCTGTCTAAAAAAATTAAAATTAAAAAGAAGAAAAGGAGAAATAAAGTGATATTATAATTTGTTCATTGGGATGAATGTGTATATTAAAACATTTTTTAAAAACTTCATGATACTTTTAGGAAGGAAAATAGAGAAACGAGTTGTGGGAGGAATAAACTTCAACTTCATCCTTAATCTCCTATTTTTTTAATAGAAAGTGCTTGAAATAAAAATTGGCAAAATGTTAATATTTGTTAATTCTGGTACACAAGTAAATTTTACATTTTTTGTACTTTTTGTATTTTACTAAGTAATTCAGAATTTTAAGATTGTCAAGGAAACTATAAATGCACTAATTAAGTGGTTAATATTTGTGTATGTGTGTGTGTGTTTCTTTATTGCTAGATTTCATGCCAGTATTTTTTCCAAAGCAAGATTGACACATGATCCTTTGAATAAATGAACATTTCCATTTTAATTGACTATATTAGTCCTAATAAGTTAACATGTTAATGTGTGCTTTATGTACATAATTCTTCAGTTACAGGCAATAAATTACTGTTATGTTTTTACCATGCGCAATGAACAATCATAAGAAAATCAGGAGGTGGAATGTCATAACAAGATGCATATGCAAGATTGAAGAAAAAGGACAAATACAAAAAATAGGGCACAAATCATCATGACAGAGTAACCAATACCCCACTTTTTTCAAAAGAAAAGATTACTAGTGTGACAGGATTGCAAAATAAGTTCATTCCTTAGGTAAAATTGTGAAGAAGAGGAAGTCTGCATGGCCATTTGTGCAAATAAGGCATGTTGGGTAGTAAGTAGCAGAACACACACCTCAAATTGGCTTCAAATAGTGATGGCAAGCATTATTTACATCACAGAGGGGCAGACAATGCAGTGGCTGATCAGAGCTTTCCTGATACCATCATGCTTTTTAGAGGCCTCTGCTCTGCCAGCCTGGGAGTCATCTTCACCCTCAGGCTGGTAGACTCCAGTCTCTTAGGTCAGAATGGGATTAGAGACCCGTTCCTGAACCAGTCACACACAGCGGGTGAAACTGCTATGATTGGTTTAGACTTAGAGACTGGAATGGATGCTGGTGAGTCCCATTATTTCTGCCATGCTCTTCCCGGGGTTGTTTTTTCCCCTATGTTTCCTTGTGTTTATGCTCTTTCATTTGCTCAACGCCTTGTTTTTCTTCTTGCTATTAAAATTGAGGTGCAGATTCCCATGCCAGTTTATAGTCACATTTTAATTTGTGTCTTGTCAACAAAAGCATATTTGGAAAATATACTAATGGATGTCCAGCTTCAGTTACCAAGGTAGAATTGAGCAGTACTAGATAGTGAGGTTTGAAGTTATCTGATTTTCCTCCCATTCTTCCTTCCTCTGTCATTCTCTTGTAAGCAATATCATTGCAGAAAACTTGAGAAATACATATGCAAAGGAAAAGTAGAATTGCCCGTAATGTCACCACTCAGAGAGAGAAGCTTTATATTTCAATCTGTGTTCTTACAGTGAATTAAACCTTGGGAAATTCTGTATAAAACTTATTTAGAGAATTATGTTTGATGTTGATGAAAAAAGCCAAACTCTGTAAAATATTTGAAGAGGTTATCTGAGCCAATATGACTGACCATGGCGTGGGGTACAATCTTGAGAGGTCCTGAGAAAATGTGCCTGCGATGGTTGGGTTACAGCTTGGTTTTATACATTTTAGGGAAACTGAAGTTACAGGCAAAAACATAAATTAATACATGTAAGGTATACATTGGTTCAGCCCAGAAAGTGCAGATTGGCAATTGGCGGGGGTGGGGCTTACAGGTCACAGGTAATTTCAAAGATTTTCTGATTGGTAATTGCTTGAAAGAGTTAAGCTTTGTCGAAAAAGTTGAATTCAGTAGAAAGAAATGCTTGAGTTAAGATGGGGAAGGCTGTAGAAGCCAAGGTTCTTGTTACGTAGATGAAACCTCTAAGCAGCAGGCTTCAGAGAGAAAGGATGGTAAATGCCTTTCTTTGGACATTAAAAGGTTTTGGAATCTCAGTTAAATCTCTTCTGGATCCAGTAAAGACCTAGTAAGAGGAGATTCTATACAGAGGCTAATTTCTGCCACAAGAGAGGGCTTTGCAGGGCCATTTAAAAATATGTTAGAGAGGACGGGTGAGGTGGCTCAGCCTGTAATCCCAGCACTTTGGGAAGCCCAGGTGGGTAAATCATGAGGTCAGGAGCTCGAGATGAGCCTGGCCAACATAGTGAAACCCCGTCTCTATTAAATATACAAAAAATTAGCTGGGCGTGGTGGCGGGTGCCCATAAACCCAGCTACTTGGGAGGCTGAGCCAGGACACTCACTTGAACCCAGGAAGCGGAGGTTGCGGTGAGCCAAAATTGCACCACTGCACTCCAGCCTGGGTGACAGCGTGAGACTCTGTCTCAAAAAAAAAAAAAAAAAAAAAAAGAAAAAGAAAAAGAAATATATGTCAGAGAACTATATAACTATATTATATTTTGGGGTAAAATATTTTGATTTCCTTTAGGGCATGCGATGTGTCATGTGATGCTATCCCAGATTCAGGTTAGAATTTGGTATCTTGTTGACACAAAGAGTCTGCTTTAGCAGTTACATGATCTCTATTTTAATGTTAATGCTGGTCAGTTGTGCCTAAATTCCAAAAGTGAGGGGGTATAATGAGGTATGTCTGAGCTCTTTTCCCATCATGGTCAGGAATTCAGTTTTTCAGCTTCCCCTTGGCCCAGAGGGGTCCATTCAGTCATTTGGGGGATGTAGGATTTTATTTTTGGTTTACAATGTATATTGGTTTTCTACACACTCTTGTAGAACTAGAGAAGGGAACTGAAGCTTCTCCTAAGCGCTCAATTTGATATTTTCTTCCTGCCTCACATGCCTTTCACCCCTGCTTTAAGAAACATGTTTGTGCCTGTCTGTTGAGACAGCACTAAATTCTGCATGAACAAACATCCAAACTCCAAGGGATTAGGGTTTGCTCCATAGTCTGGCTTTATTTCAACCCTGAGGTCTTAAATTGGAAGAGCAACCAGGGCTCACAGGCACTGACTCACCTTAGAGACTCTTGCAGAACTTTTGCTCCTGAAACCCAGAGACAAAGAGAGGTGTGCCTGGGAAAGAATGCTTCCCCTGACAAGAGTCGTGATGGAAACTCTTAAGTCATGAGCTTCATTCTTTGGGCTAATAGCACCCGATTCTGCCAAAGCCCAAACTTTCTTCAAAGCAGAAGATCCAGGATCTGTGAGCTGTGAAAGTGACACTGAAAAATTACTTATTGTGAGTTGAACATCTGGCTGCCATATAGTTTTTATTCTTTTCACACTGTTCTCCCCCACCACCGTCTTTGCCACCATTTACCAAGGGTGGAAGCCAGTGTTGCTATGCTTGGCCTTGCAGACATCTCTCCTTGCAACCATTGTTTTGAATGTGTGGATTGAAGTTAAAGGCAGTCAGCTGCAACTGCTAGTGGCTCCCAGGAAGATTGGCCCCTTCATTACACATCCCTGCCATTGTCATCCATAGAATGATTTAAAACTCCCTTTCTCACTTCTTCTCACTTTGGATTATTTTCCCAGAAAGCTACTCTTTGATATGTGAATGACGCTTAAATAGTATCTAGTGAGTGGAAAAGGTTAAATAGATTTCTTCATGGTCAGAGTTGCCAGTGCTTGGGTAGATATGCCCTGAATTCCCTGCCTTGTTCCAGACAGACGCCATGATGCTTATGCCAGCAATGGCGTCTAATGGGTAGAAACTGTATTTACATAAAGCCACTTAGCCATGGGCTCGATTTCTTGTTCACTGACTGTGTAGATAATGGATATCTTTCTTAGTCTCTTTTAGCTATTGTATTAGTCAGGGTTCTCTAGAGGGACAGGACTAATAGGATAGATGTATATTTGAAAGGGCGTTTATTAAGGAGTATTGACTCACACAATCACAAGGTGAAGTCCCACAATAGGTCCTCTGCAAGCTGAGGAGCAAGGAAGCCAGTCCGAATCCCAAAACCTCAAAAGTAGGGAAGCCAAAAGTGCGGCCTTTAGTCTGTGGCTGAAGGTCCATGAGCCCGTGGCAAACCACTGTTATATATACAAGAGTCCAAAAGCTGAAGAACTTCGAGTCCAGTGTTTGAGGGCAGGAAGCATCCAGCATGGGAGAAAGATGAAGGCTGGAAGACTCAACCTATCTAGTCCTTCCACGTTCTGCCTCCTTTATTCTAGCTGTGCTGGCAGCTGATTAGATGGTACCCACCCAGATTGAGAGTGGGTCTGCCTCTTCCAGTCCACTGACTCAAATGTTAATCTCCTTTGTCAGCACCCTCACAGACACACCCAGGAGCAATATTTTGCATTCTTCAATCCAGTCAAGTTGACACTCAATATTAACTATCACAACCATTATTCTTTGATCTGTAAAATGGCAGTCAGAATACTTAGCAAATAGATTTGTGT
Organism: Homo sapiens; assembly: GCF_000001405.40. Classification (NCBI taxonomy): domain Eukaryota; kingdom Metazoa; phylum Chordata; class Mammalia; order Primates; family Hominidae; genus Homo; species Homo sapiens. The sequence goes on from NC_000015.10 coordinate 93,839,095, forward strand.
GAAGTTTAAATAAAATGACAAAATTAAATACCCACAATTGTAGAGCCTAGTATGTGGTTAGCAAATATTAGTTTCCCCACCACCTATCTCTCTGTGACTCAATGTCCATAGCTGGTATCCACAAAGAGAGGGCAAAAGCTTGTAATGTTAGCATAGTTCACAAACTAATGGGTTAGGAGGCTAAGATAAGACAAATCTTAAATTTTTTCTTGCTCCAAGATTTAAAAATTGTTCATTCAACAGACTTAAAATACAGCAAAAATACACCAGTAACACTCAAAGATAGAAACAGTGGGTGGATGCTGCCTCTGTGGCCATTGAAAGAGAAGCTAGGTTTTCTAGAATATACAGTTCTGTGAGATGTCACAACAGGGGGTTCTTAATTTTACAGCCCATGAAAGCATAAAAAGTGACCAGAAACATCAGCAAAATTCTGAAAACAACATCTCATTGCTGTTTCTGTTTGGAGACGTGTAGATGTTGACAACAAAAATATCCATGAAAGTACAAGCCTCCCAGCTCCATCACATGTCCAAGACTCACTGGAAGTGAGGAGAACCTTTGAGGTTGGCCTTAAAGTCACACAGGGTGGGGTATAATACTAAGTAAGAGAAGGTCCACACTGGTTTAATAAAGCCTCAGAGAAGGGTAGAAATCCACATATCAAGTCTCCTCCATGCTGCCTTCAGACAGTTGCTAAGTGAAGATTAATAAGATTAATATTAAATAAGAATAGGTTTAGGGTAAAGCTCTGAACATTAAGTATAAGCAAGATTGGTCTTTTCTAGAACCAGCTTTTGGTTTTATCGATTTGCCCCTATTGTTTTTCTGTTTTCAATTTCACATATTTTTTGCTCTAAATTTACTATTTCTTTTACTCTACTTCTTTTAGGTTCAAATTGCTCTCTAGTTTTTTCAGGTGGAAGCTTAGATTATTGATTTAAGATTCTGCTTTTCTAATATATGCATTTAATGTTTTAAATTTCCCTCTTTTGCTGCATCCCACAGATTTTAATAGGTTGTATTTCCATTTTCATTAAGTCAAAACATTTTAAAATTCCTCTTGAGACTTCTTTGACTATATTACTTAGGCAGGTTTTCAAATATTTGGATATTGTACAGCTATATTTCTAGTATTGATTTTTAGTTTAATTCCATTGTGGTCTGGAAACATGCTTTGTATGACTTCTGCTATTTAAAATTTGCTAAAGTGTGGGTCTATCTTGTAGAATGTCCCATATGAGCTTGAGAACAATGTGTATTCTGCTGTTTTTGGATTCAGATTAAGTTGATTGACAGTGATGTTCAGCTCAACTCTATTCTGACTAATGTTCTATGTGCTTGATCTATTAATTACTGAATTAGGGATGCTTAAGTCTCTGACTACAATAGTGGAATTTTATATTTCACCTTGAATTTCTGTCAATTTTGCCTCACATATTTTGATGCTCTGTTGTTAGAAACGTACATATTAAGGGCCATTATTATATTTTCTTGGAGAATTGGCCTATTACTGATGGCTTTGTTATTTAACGTTCCTCTTCATCCCTGAAATTTTTTTTCTCTGAACTCTGTGCTTTGAAATTAATATAGCTACCCCAACCTTCTTTTGATTGCTGTTAGAATGGTATATATTTTTCCATCTCTCTCTCTCTCTCTCTCTCTCTCTAACCTATCTGTATCTTTATATTTAAAGTGGGTTTCTTTCTTTTCTTCTTTTTTTTTCTTTTTTTTTTTTTTTTTGAGATGGAGTCTTGTTCTGTTGCCCAGGCTGGAGTGCAGTGGGACGATCTTGGCTCACTGCAATCTCCGCCTCCTGGGTTCATGCCATTCTCCTGCCTCAGCCTCTGGAGTAGCTGGGACTACAGGCGCCCACTACCACGCCCGGCTAATTTTTTGTATTTTTAGTAGAGATGGAGTTTCACCATGTTAGCCAGGATGGTCTCGATCTGCTGACCTCATGATCCTCCCACCTCGGCCTCCCAAAGTGCTGGGATTATAGGTGTGAGCCACTGCACCTGGCCCTTTGTTTTCTTTTTAAAGACAGGGTCTTGCTCATTGCCCAGGCTGGAGTGCAGTGTGATGATCTCAACTCACTGCAACCTCTGCCTCCTGGGTTCAAGTGATCCTCCTTCCTCAGTCTCCTGAGTAGCTGGGACTACAAGCATGCACTACCATGCCAGGCTAATTTTTGTATTCTTAAGTAGAGACAGGGTTTTGCCATGTTGGCCAGGCTTAAAGTGGATTTCTCATGGACAAGGTATAGTTGGGTCTTGTATTTTTACATTTGGATTAATATCTACTATGTTTGTAACTGTTTTCTATTCATTGCATTTTCCTTTATTCTCTGCCTTTTATAATTTTATTTATTTAGTTATTATTTTTAGGTCATTTTTTTTTTAAAAGCAGGGTCTCACTCTGTCACTCAAACTGGAATACAGTAGTGTGATCATAGCTCATTGTAACCTCAAATGCCTGGGCTCAAATGATCCTCCAACCTCAGCCTCCTGAGTAGTTTGGACTACAGGTGTGCATCACTGTACCCAGCTAATTTTTTAACTTTTTGTAGATATGGGGTTTTGCTATGTTGTCCAAGCTGGTTTCAAACTCCTGGCCTCAAGTGATTCTCCAGCCTCGGCTTCTCAAAGTGCTGGAATTATAGGTGTGAGCCACCATGCCTAGGCTTTGGTTTTAATTAGGCATTTTATATGATTCCATTTTATCTCCTGTTTTAACATATACATTTTACTTCTTTTAAAAAATTTAGTTGTTGTCCTAGAGCTTGCAATATGTATTTTTAATTAATCTCAGCCCATTTTAAAATAACATTATATTGCTTCATTTAAAGTATAGTCACCTTATAACAAAGTATTCCCAATTCCATCTCTTATAACCTCATTATCATTCATTTTCCTTATCTATATGTTATAATCTCCTAATAAATTGCTACTACTATACTTTAGGCAATGCATTATATTTTATATATTTTAAGAACAAGAAAAATAAAGGACTTGATTCTATAATAGATTCATTTATTCCTCCCCCAATATTCTTTCTTTCTTTATATAGATAGGAGTTTCTTATATATATGTCATTTTTCCTCTTCCTGAAAAACATCTTTCAATATTTCTTTCAGGTTTGTTGTCAATAAATTTTCTCAGTTTTTGTTTTCCTATTTATCCTTCACTTATAAAGGATAATTTTCCTGGATACAAAATTCTAAGTTGGTAAATTTTGTTATTGAACATTAAATATTTCACCCCATTCTCTTCTTTTGTACATGATTTCTGGTGAGAATTCTGCTGTAACTCTTATTCTTTTTTTTTCTATAGATAAGGCTTTTTTTCCCCTTGTCTTCTTTCAATATGTCCTCTTTGTCTTTGGTTTGCTGCTGTTTAGATATGATATGGCTAACTGTAAGTGTTTTGTTGTTTTGTCTTATTTTGTTTGTTTGTCTGGTACTTATCGGGCTTTGTGTTTTGCATCTGTGGTTTAGTATTTGTCATTAATTTTGGAAAGTTCCCAGCCATTATTACTTCAAACAATTACTTACTGTTTTGCTCTGTTCTCACTTTCCTATCTTCTAGTATGTCAAATATGCATATGTCATACCCACAATTCTTGAATTTTTTTCATTTTTAAAATATTATTATTCATTTTCCTCCCTATGTTTTTGTGTGGGGAGTTTGTATTGACTGTGGTCAAGCTCATAGATTCTTTCTTTAGCTTTGCCCAGTCTACTGATAAGTCCATTAAAGGTATTGCTCATTTCTGTTGTACACATTTTTATTTCTAGCATTTTAAAAAATTCTTGCTTAGAGTTTTTATCACTCAGCTTATATTATTCACTTATTTTTCACATTATCTACTTTTTCTATTAAAAACCTTATCATATAAATCATAGTTTAAAATTTTCTTCTCTGATAATACTAGCATTTTTGTCATATTGAATGTAGTAATGTTGATTGATTCTTTTCCTCTTCAAATTGTGTTATCTCTTACATTCCAACATGATTTGTAAGTCTTTGTTAAAAGCTGAACACCACATACTGCATAATGGAAACTGAGATAAGCACGATCTTAATGTATGGTTTTAAGTTAGTTTGGGTCAGCGTTGGACAATGTTTAGTGTTTGATATAGGTGTAGGTGCCAGATATTTCAAATCCCTCTAGGGTCCTTATTTTTGTCTCCCTTATTGACTTTGAGTGCCTTGAGGACTGCTACTCAGAGAGGGTCTATCTGAATCTTGCTGCTCTTTCAGGTTTAATCCACTATTATACGTGAACCCTGTTGATATGGTAGTAAGATGTTGGGAAGGGAAGATATTCTATAATTTTATTATTAAATCTCATTATTTTAACAGGGAGAGCTCTACATGTTAGTATGGAGTAAATAAAAATAAAATTAATTATGGAATAAAGTAAAATAAAAGCAAGATGTGTAAGAGTATATCGGGCAGGCTAACTTTTGTTTAAAAAGTATAGGTACATTTTCGAAATATAGTTACTTATATTTTCAGAACAAATTAATGAAAGGATAAACATAAACCTAGGTAAAATAATCTCCTCCCTGGGGAGACAGAGAACAAAACAGAAAAAGAGAGTGGTAACGAAACTTAAGTGAATATACTTTATTACATAATTTGGTATTAGATAAATATATACTTTAAAAAAGTTATTTTGACAAAAAAGGGGAAAAAGTAATATCTAAACTTAAGAGCAAGTGTAAATAAATGAACAAAATATCTATATCAAAAGATTGCATAATCACACAGAGAAAATAATTATTTCAAGTGACTTTAAACACCATATTTCAACTGAGCACCTCCAGTAAGATGTATTGTAAAGGAAAAGTACTCACAATAATTTTTAAGCTTTTTTAGTATTATTATTGTTAGTAATATTTACAGTCTTATTTTGAAACTATTATAGTTATTCTATAAGTTGATACAAATAAGTAATTTTGAATATATTAGAAACAGAATTTTTGTGTAGAAAAAATACAAGTTTAAAATCAAAGTCATTTAATAATTGTAATTTTGAAGTGGAATCATCAATTTAAATTATGACTATTTTTTCCCTTAAAAAATATATATATATATATTTTTTCTTTTTTCTCTTTACTGAAAAGGCCTAGAAGCGAAGACACATAGAAGCAATGTGTACCTAGACTGTTGTCCTAAATGCCATTTCCTACCAGGAAGGAACCAGAGTCTTTGCAGAAATGTATCATTTCACATCTGGGTAAGGAAATGTCTGAGAAGGATCAGATATATTGTGGGTCAGAAAGCAACGGAGCTGTCAAAGTGAACTCATGCAACGGTATCAAAAGGATTCAAAAGAATTCAGTTGATAAAAGTCGGTATAGACCCATTTCTTCCCACTCTTCCCTGCTAAGTATAACTGTAACCCCTGAAAATTACTCAAGAGACAACCAAAGGAGAACTCTAAACACTAGTGGAAGAAGATTAACTGATTTGGGACCCTAAGAACAACATAGTGGCAGGGTGACACTCATGCCTCCTTTCAAAAGAACAAGGACACCTAGACCCAGTATTTTCCTACCTCAGCAGAGCAACAGATGGAAGCCCACGTAGGCTCATTGCTCTCCTGGATCCATCAGCAGCCCCTCTGCATCAGGCGAGCCCAACACTACCTTTGAGGAGGAATCAATTTGGAGACCTATCAATAAGCAGTGAGGGGAATCACTCTCCTTCCTCAAGCAGCACCAGCAAGAACCAGTGGGAGCCCGAGAAACACCAGACATGTTAAGTAGTCCAATGTAACACCACAAAGTCTCTGAAAATTAAACTGCCATTGGAACCATAGCCTAAAAAAGTTGGCCAAGACTTACGTATGTGATAAATCTAAACAGGGTGACTGCCACTTAAAATAAAAGATTTAAAGAGGACCCCAGAGTCTCTTAACATACTAGACAAAATGTTGAGGATACAGTAGAAAATTACCCATCACACCAAGAACCAAGGAAATGACAACTCGAATGAGAAAGAAAATCACCTGACACTGCACTAAGTTCAATGTTGGAATTATCTGACAAGGATTTTAAATTATATTTGATCATTGAAACAAAAATTATAACACAATACTTAAGGTAATGATATTTAAGAGTGAAGAAGATGGCTTCCTAAACAGAATGAAGTTTCCATACTATATTTGAAGTTATAAAATGTTGACACTGGTAGATTATTACATATATATTTTGTAATGCCCAGGGCAACCACTACAGAAACTATACACAAAAATACACCCCAAATGCTATAAATAAATCAAGATGGAATTCTAGAAAAAAAAAATTCAAGCAACCAACAGAATGGCAATAACAAGAAATAGAAAAAAATAGAAAATAAGCTATAAAATGGCAGATTTGAATACTAACATATCATTAAGTTCCTTATATATAAGTGGTCTAAATACACCAATCAAAAGGCAGAGTTTAGCAAAGTGGATTTAGAAAATCCTGACTCAATTATATGAAAGAGGCATAACAATCAAATGCAATATGTAGAACCGTTGATTTTGATCTGAACAAGCTAGTTGTAAACAGGTATCTTTGGCATTAATTAGGAGAATGTGAATATGGATGGTTAATTAGATAATAAGAATTTTTTTAATTTTTTTATAGTTGTGCTTATGACTCATAGTCATGTTTTTAAAAACTTTATTATTGTCTGGGCATGGTGGCTCATGCCTGTACTCCCAGCACTTTGGGAGGCCGAGGCGGGTGGATCACTGGAGGTCAGGAGTTTGAGACCAGCCTGGCCAACATGGTGAAACCCCGTCTCTACCAAAAATATATATATATAAAAATTAGCCAGGTGCGGTGGCATGCTCCTGTAATCCCAGCTACTCGGGAGGCTGAGGCAGGATAGTCGCTTGAACCTGGGAGGCGGAGGTTGCAGTGAGCCAAGATTGTGCCACTGCACTCCAGCCTGGACGACAGAGTGAGACTCCATGTAAAAAAAAAAAAAAAAAAGTTATTATTTGCTTATTAAATTATGGAAGGACAAAATTATAGGCTGTCTGGTATTTTAAAAAATGCTCCAGGAAAACAAAAAATGTGAGAATGACTTGGCAAGATGGCTGACTAGAAACAGCTGTGATCAGAGGCTCCCACTGAGAGGAACAGAAATGGGGAGTGAATCCTGCACCAGCAACCGAGGCAACTGCCGGAACGGGAAACACTGAGCAATGTGGACTCAGGAGGAATTCCCCACAGGGAAGCACAGCCGCAGTGGAAGATCGTGGCCAGATTACCTCTTTAGGCTGGACCCCCGATCCGTCCCTCCTCACTGGGTAGGGCCTCCCTGTGGGAATTTCAAGGTCCCGAATCTACAAGGAACTTAAACGAATTTACAGGAACAAAAACAAACAACCCAATTAAAAAGTGGGCAAAGGACATGAACAGTCACTTCTCAAAAGAAGACCTACATGCGGCCAACGAAGATGTGAAAAAAACTCAACATCACTGATCTTTAGAGAAATGCAAATCAAAACCACATTGAGATACCATCTCACGCCAGTCAGAATTAATTATTAAAAAGTCAAGAAACAACAGATGCTGGCGAGGTTGCAGAGAAAAAGGAAGGCTTTTACACTGTTGATGGGAGAGTATATTAGTTTAATCCATTGTGGAAGACAGTGTGGCAATTCCTGAAAAATCTAGAGGTGAAAATACCATTTGACCCAGCAATCCTATTACTGGGTATATACCCAATGGAATATAAATAATTTTATTATAAAGATACATGCATGCATATGCTCATTGCAGGACTATTTACCATAGCAAAGACAGGGAATCAACCTAAATGCCCATCAATGACAGACTGGATAAAGAAAATGTGGTACATTTACACCATGGAATATGATGCAGCCATAACAAGGAATGAAATCATGTCCTTTGCAGGGACATGGATGGAGCTCAAAGCCATTATCCTCAGCAAACTAATGCGGGATCAGAAAACCAAACACTGCATGTTCTCACTTATAAGTGGAAGCTGAACAATGGGAACACGTGGACACGGAGTAGGGAACAAGACACACTGGGGCCTGTTTGTGGGGTTGGGGGAGGGAGAGCATCAAGAAAAATAGCTAATGCATGTGGGGCTTGTAGGTGATAGGCTGATAGGTGCAGCAAACCACCATGGCACACATTTGTTTACCTATGAAACAAAACTGCATGTCCTGCACATGTACCCCAGAACTGGGCATGGTGGCACATGCCTGTAGTCCCAGCTACTCGGGAGGCTGAGGCAGGAGAATCGCTTGAACCCGGGAGGCAGAGGTTGCAGTGAGCTGAGATTGTGCCATTGCACTCCAGCCTGGGCAACAGAGGGAGACTCCATCTTAAAAAAAAAGAAAGAAAAAGAAAGAAAGAAAGGAAGGAAGAAAGGAAGGAAGGGAGGAAGAAAGAGAAAGAAATAAAGAAAGAGAAAGAAAGAAAGAAGGAAAGGAAGGAAAGAAAGAGGGAAGGAAGGAAGGGAGGGAGGGAGGAAGGAGAAAAAAGTGTATAAACAAAGGGATAAATTGATAGAGATACAGGATATATGAAAATAATGTTTTTAGTTGAAATAAATACTAGAGACTCATAACAGGTATTGCTCTTAAACATCATAATCACATGAATTGTTACTTTTCTTTTTCGAATGACAGCAATTATTATTTGGGTCTTAAATGTTTGACTTTAAAAATGTTTGTTTTTATACTTTCTTTCTCTTTTAAACTCAGTGAAAACTTTCTAAACTTTAAAATAAGCCATCTATACTCTCAAACCTGCTGTTTTGGTCACAAAGCTTCATCTGTTGTTTTGTTTCTGTTCGGGGCTGATTTGAATGAACTGATGAACTTAACTAAACACAGCAGAGAATTGCTCAATCCCCTTTTACTTTCTTGCTAATTAAATTTTGAATGTCTGCTGTGGAAAAGGGAGGTGGGAAGATTTTAGAACTCCAATTAATTGCAGATGCTTAATCACACCAGCTGAAAGCTGGCAAGCCACCCCATAATTTACATAGTCTGTCGACTGGACAGCTGTGGCTGGGAATGGGCAGGGATGGGTGGGGTGCAAGCCCCTTCACCCCAGTGCTGGCGTCGTAGTGCTTGCCATAACAGACATTTGTGAAAACCTTTCACCCTCCCCATTGCTGTCTTCACTTTTCCTGGCCTCTGTATATTCCTCTGATGCATTTCTTAGGGTCCTTAAGCCTCCTTGGCTATTTTGCAATTCAGTAAGTTTGTTGTAGGTGTGGCTCAAAATTAAAGAGTAGAGACAGAAAGACAAGGATGGATCAAGTTGGTTTTTTTTTTTCTTTGTAGTCCTTTAAATACTAATTTTTTTTTTTTTTTACCTAAATAATTGTCAGAATCTTCAGAAAGGCAAAGTCTCCTGGTTGCTCCCAAGATTGGCAATAAGAATGGCTCATCTTATTCATTCTCCAAACACTGGGGCCACCCAGAATTTATTATTTTCTCCTTGTTTTGGATATGTGTATATGTGTGTGTTGGGGTGTCAGTATTCAAGCACATGTGCTGGATGCTAAAACACACACATGGCCTTGGCCTTAAATGTTCAGCTGTGTCTGCTCCACACCCTGACATTAAAATAAACTGTCTTTTGGAATAAGATTCTATCCCCTAGACTCCTGGTTGAAGAGGATTTTAAGCTTGTGAACTCTGCTTACCCTAAGCACTGAAAAAGATTAGGAACAATCAAATCAACCAGGTATGCATCGTTCTCAGTGTCAAGTTAAACTTTTAAATCTAGAAAGTAAATGTTGCTGAAGTCTGGGTCGTGGAGACCAGTCTGCAGAGGTGAGTGTGCAGTTGTGCATGAACAGTGCTTGCTTGGAGCTTTGTCAAGTCTAATTCATGGAGAGGGAGGGATGTGAGACCTGCCATGAGCAGTATGTCAATTTCAGTTAAATGATGCCTATAATGTGCCTTCACATGTGTTTTCTCATTTTATCTTCATAATAGTTCTGTAGACAGGTGAATAAGACACAGAGATGTGCGGCAGTTTGTCTAGGGTCCCCTAATTATTTCATTGATTCATTCATTTATTCATTCATTAATGTATTTATCCTTTACTATGATCTTATTTTGTACTAGCCACTGTATGATGTGTCTGGGATATAGGTTAGAAAAATAAACATGACTCTTCCTCTCATGCGGTCATACACTAGTGGAGAAGAGTGGTTTAAATCAAATATATAAATAATCACACCAATAATTGAATAACGGCAGACTGAGGTAAATGCCATGGAGGAAAGGAATGCTGATCTTGAAGAGTGCATCATATACGGAACATGACTCGGACTCCTGGGGTCTTTAAGGAGGTGATGGTGAACCTGAGATGTGAAAGATGACAAGAGTCAGCCAGATCAAGTGGGCTGAGTAGGGGAAGAGCATTCCAGACAGAAAGGTCAGTACACAGAAAAAACCTGAGAGGCTGCATTTTTAAAAACTACAAGGCTAGGGATGCTGAAGTTAGAGACCAACTTGGAGCATGACTCGAGAGGAGAATGGAGAAAGAGTCAAGTTTCGGATCATGCAGGGGAGAAACAGGAAATTGCTATGAAGATCTTACTATTGTCAGTCAAACAGACAATGGCTTGGAGGCCATATGAGTTAATATTATTTGGAGTTTGCATAAGAGTAGCTGATAGCATTAGCTAGGTTATTGGCAGGGCAGATGGAGATGTCTGGATACATTGCAAGATTGCTTAGGAGACAAAATCAATAGCACTTGGTGATAATTTGAGTATCAGAGTTGAAAGAAATGAAAATAACTAGGATGATTCCTGGCCTGGTTACCTATGCAGTTGAATAGATTTAAGAGAGCTGGCTTGGGGTGCAGAGAGATTCAAAGTTTGGTCCTGGGTTGATTGTGGCAGGATCAATGTGGTTAATATGGCTTGCAGGCCTCCAAAAAGAGATTCTGAATGGCCAGCTGGGTATATAGGTCTGAAGTTCAGAGAAGAGTCTTTGAGTGAAAGATTGTTTGAGAGTCATCAGCATTTAAGTAGTAGCTATGGGTGGAGATTATCTTGCTTGAGACAGTGATAATGACAAAAGACAAGACCTGGGACATCATGTTGAGAAATTCCATCAGGTGGGTTGGGGCATGAGGATGAGCCTGCCAAAGCTAAGGAAACCCGAGGATGAAAGGAGATAAAAAGGAATGTAGGATCCTGGAAGCCAAGGAAGATATTTCCAGAAGGAGCATGAACAGTGCCATATGCCTTGGGTCAGGTAAGATGAGGACTGGAGGGGTCCCATTAAGTCTGTAATATGGTTCTTAGACTGTCAACTGGAACCTTCTACCTCACTTTTGAAAATTAAGACTCTTCTTTGGAAAGAAAATGTTTGCACCCCACATCTCCCTCTACAGCCCACTCTAATTTTCTCTGTCTTTGCACAAACTTCTTGAAAGTATTTTTTGTGTGCTCACTCTCTCCATTCCCCCTCTTTTCTTTGAGTCTGCCACCCACTCAAACCCACTTCTTCTCCATTCCCCTACCCACACTCTTCTGCTTCCAGTGTGCCCTTTGCATTTTATATCATGGCAATGTGATATGGTTTGGCTGTGTACCCACTCAATATGTCACCCCAAATTTTAATCCCTGGCCAGATGTGGTGGCTCATGCCTATAATTCCAGCAGTTTGGGAGACCGAGGTGTGTGGATCACCTGAAGTCAGGAGTTCGAGACCAACCTGGCCAACATGGTGAAACCCCATCTGTACTAAAAATACAGAAATTAGCCAGGCATGGTGGTGCACGCCTGTAATCCCAGCTACTCAGGAGGCTTGAACCTGGAAGGCAGAGGTTGCACTGAGCCAAGATTGTGCCACTGCACTCCAGCCTGGGCAACAGAGCAAGCCTTCATCTCAAAAAAAAAAAAAAAAAAATTAATCCCCATAATCTCCATTATCACCACGTGTCAAGGGAGAGACCAGGTGGCGGTGTTTGAGTCATGGGGGCTCTTTCTGCATGCTGTTCTCATGATAGTGAGTGAGTTCTCCCAACATCTAATGGTTTTATAAGTGTTTGGTAGTTCCTCTTGCATTCATTCTCTTTCTTGCCGCCTTGTGAAGAAGGTGACTTGCTTCCCTTTTGCCTTCTACCATGACTGAGGCCTTCCCAGCATACTGAACTGTGAGTCAATTAAACCTCTTTTCTTTATAAATTACTGAGTTTCAGGCAGTTGGGGTTTTTAAAATTTTATTTCCATAGGTTTTTGGGGAGCAGGTGGTATTTGGTTACATGAGTAAGTTCTTTAGTGGTGATTTGTGAGATATTTGTGCACCCATCTCCCAAGCAGTATATACTGAACCCAATTTATCCCTCACCCTCTTCCCACTCTTTCCTTCTCAGTCCCAAAGTCCATCATCTCATTCTTATGCCTTTGTGCATCATGGCTTAGCACCCACATATCAGGGAGAACATACGATGTTTGGTTTTCCGTTTCTGCGTTACTTCACTTAGAATAATAGTCTCTAATCCTATCCAGGTTGCTATGAATGCCATTAATTCATTCCTTTTTATGGTTGAGTAGTGTTCCATCATGTTTCTTTATTCTATTCATACGGTTTCTTTATCTATTCACTGATTTATGGGCATTTGGGTTGGTTCTACATTTTTGCAATTGTGAATTATGCTGCTATAAACATGCATGAGCAAGTATTTTTTTGGTATAATGACTTCTTTTTCTCTGGGTAGATCCAGTGGGATTGCTGGATCAAATGGTAGTTGTACTTTTATTTCTTTAAGGAATCTCCACACTGTTTTCCATAGTGTTTGTAGTACTGTACATTCCCACCAGCAGTGTAGAAGTGTTCCCTTTTCACCATATCCACACCAACATCTATTGTTTTTAATTTTTTAATTATGGCCATTCTTGCAGGAGTAAGGTTGTATCACATTGTGGTTTCGATTTGCATTTCCCTGAAAATGGACTAATACATGATGTTTGCATAGTAACATTTTGATTCACATATTTACATTTATAAATATTTTTATTTTTACATCTGCTTTGGATGTCCTATATAAAAAAGTTTTCATGCCCAAAATTTATAAAAATTTCACTAATATTTTTATTATTTTATGCTTTTATATTTTATATTTAATTCATCAGTAATTACTTTTAGTATCAAGTATGAGGTAAAGATTTAACTTTCTTTGGCTCTAGGTTGCTAGATAGTTGTTTCAGAAGCATATACTGAATGCCTTCCTCATCAATTGGAAATGGGATCTTTATTGCTCTTCTTTTAGATTCATGGAATGAACTATTCAAAGCTCTTTTCATCCACAGTCTCATAGACTGGCAAATCAATAAGAATTGGGAAGACAAAACTCTTAGAAAATTGAAAAAATCAGCAATCTTCAACACAATGTTCAGAACACAGAAAGTATTGCACTTCTGGTGCTTAACTGTATCAACAAAAAATGATAATAAAAGGGAAAAATGGCCTAAAATGAATCATTTCCTATAGCAATAACAAGAGCAAGGCACACATACACACACACACACACAAACACAAACACACACACCCCAATGTGCTAATATTATTATTAACCCTGGCAGGCAATACTTTTTGTGAAGTAGGGTTTTTTTTCATTTGTTTTTTGATTTGCTTGAAACCTGATTCCATCATATGGGATACTCAATATCCCCAAATGCTTATCAAATTATTACTTTCAACTTACCTGAAATTCCAAATCACTGGCTTTAGTGTTGCTAGACCAAAATTTCTGGCCTTGACTTTATTAGATTGAGAGTCACTTAAGGTCAGTCAGCTCCTATCTGCTTGCAGCGTGGTCTCTGGTGCACAGAGCTCGATGCCAGGAAATACTGTCCTGCAATGATTCATTCCCTTTTATTGGCTACGTAGTCATAGGTTGGACTCTATATTAGGAAGATGAACAACAGGTATTTTGTGCCATTAAGGCAAGTACAGTTTATAGTGGAAAAAAGGCAAATAAACTTATAATTAAGATAAATAAGAGAATTTCTACATAAATTTAGAAATTAGGGCTCGGCACAGTGGCTTACACCTGTAATCCCAGCACTTAGGAAGGCTGAGGTGGGAGGATCACTTGAGGTCAGGAGTTCGAGACCAGCCTGGCCAATATGGTGTAACCCTGTCTCTATTCAAAATACACAAATTAGCCAGGCATGGTGGTGTGTGTCTGTAGTCCCAACTACCCAGGAGGCTGGGGCAGGAGAATCGCTTGTACCAGGGAGGTGGAGGTTGCAGTGAGCTGAGACTGCACCATTGCACTCCAGCCTGGGCATCACGGTGAGGCTCTGTCTTAAAAACAAAATTAGAAATTAGTATATGTATGTAAAGTACTCTGTGAACAAAAGAGAGGCAGTCTCTCTATTTTGGCAAATGTAAGCTGTATATGGCAGAGAAGCAAGAATCTTCTGGCTAGAGAAGGAAGAAATATGCACATGGTACAGAGACGACAACATGAAGAGAGACACAGAAGCCCCACAGGGTGCTGCCTGCTTGAGGAAGGAGCCACGGCTTATGGTGGCTGGAAGAGCCTGAGAGGAGCACAGCAACTGCACATGGAGAGATGCAGCTGGCATCACCTTGTAGGACTCTCTGTACCAGTCTAAAGAGTTTAGTCTTCATCTTAGAGAGCTGTAGGAATGCTCAGGCAAAGGGGAGGTGTAATCAGAACTATGGTTTGGATAGATCATGCAGACGGCATCAAGAAGGATATGTGGGAAGAGGAATGGGTGGGGGACTGGAGAGAAGAACTGGTGGGGGACATTCTGCAATAATACAAGGATGGAAGCTTCAATTTAAATAGGATCCAAATACTTGTTACTAACTCTATGTCTGATCCTAGGCACCTTGACTGTTGCCTGCAGTATTGCACCAGACTCTTAATTTGGATTCCTGCTTAGGACCTTGTGTCACTACAGGCTATTCTTAAGGCAGCAGCCCCAGTGGTCCTCTTGAAATCTAAGCCAGAGTCAGTTCATGTCACTGCCCATTACAAAACTTTCCAGTGTTCCCATTTTAATTACAGCAAAAGATGTGGTCCATACAATGGCCCACAAATCCCTACATAGTCTGGCCCATTGACCTCTCTGTTTTATCTCCCAGGACTCTCTCCAATTGTCGCTTGGCTCCAGACATGGTGGCACCCTCTCCCCGCCTCCAACATGCAAGGAAATTCTTGCCTCAGGCCTTTGAAATAGCTGTTGCTTTAGCCTGGAATGTTTTTCCCTACCTATCTGTATAGTGAACTCTGTTACCTTCTGTAAGTCTTTGTTCAAATGTCACATTGACCACCATATTTGAATCGCCACCTACTTCAGCACTCCTATTCTTCCTTATCCAGCTCCACTTTTTCTTTATTCCCTCACAGCACTTACCACCTTCTCCCATAGTAAAATAATTTACTCGATTATTAAGTATATTGTCCTGTTGTCCTCTGCTGAAATGTAGACTCCATGGTAGCAGGCGTTTGGGTTTCATTTCCTGATGGATTCCAACTATCTTAGAGACTGGCTGAACATGGTATAGATTCAATAAATATTCATCAATGAAAGAATAAGTGGCCAAACTGATAGTGAAAATGGGTTAAATTCTATAAATACGTTAAAGATATAAGGGGCTGCAGTAGATACCTGCTGAGATAGAGAGGGTGATAAAGAGAGGGAGAGGAGGAGAAAGTAACTCCTGTTACATGGCTGAAGGTATTACTCTTCAAAGCATTGAATGCGAGGAAAAATACACTCAAGTTAGAAAAGAAAAAGAGCACTATTTACATGATCAATGTGTTTACTTTGAGAATAGGAGGCATTCGGTAGAAGATTGCTGAAAGTCTTCAAATTATGTTATTGATAAGGCTCTAGGCTTATTAATCACAAATGGACCTCTGCCATAACTTCCACCTTCTGAATTATTTATATATGTGTCCTTGGATGTCAAATAAACCTATGGTAGTAACTTTTTAAAATATTTCCTAAGGCAAAACATTACTAAGCATCTTTTTTTTTTTTTTTTTATCAAGGCCTGAGATTGAAGTTAGAAAATAAAGTTTAAAAATAGATATTTGAAAAGAATTGCATTTTTGTAATGACATTTTAAAGCACAGAAAAGCTGTGAATACTTTGTTTCAATCAGACCAAATTCACTTTTATAACAAATAAACTGAAAATTCATTAGGTAAAATCTTTCCAGGCATCCAGGCCTTGGGATGTTTCTCTCCCTTAGTTTCATTTCACTGGAAGGAATTCTGGCAGGCTCAGAAATCATATGAACTAACCAGGGGAGGGATGGAATCAGCCTTCATTGCCTGGTGGTTTCTCTCTGTGTGTATTGTGACATGCACACACGTGCAAATAGAGAAAACCTCCATTTAATTCCTTAAGCAATTGTAACAGGCAGGCATCATTTTCATTTAAGCATGAAGATTGGGACTCAAAGATTTGCATAACTTGGGGAAGGTCACACCGTATGAAGGAAACATATTCAAGCCCAGCCCAAACTTCAGTTCTCCCACAGCCAGCTGCCTCTCACATGAGGTCAAATTACCTGACATACATAGAGTGAGTTTGGAAACTTAATAAAAACTCTCCTCCTCTCAAATGTTTCCTCTACCTAAGTCCCTGGCGTTTGGCTCTGAACAAGTCCTTTGAGGGTAAGAGGTACTGATATTAGGAATACTTTCTAAGACACCACGCCAGTGCTTCCATTGTTAGCTTACAGTGCACACACATTCACGGAGTTTATCAGACTCCGTCCAGCCTGGGATACTCTGAGCCTCTAAGAGCCCAGGGAACTCAGACGGCAAAGTTGGAGTAGGAGACCAAATCACCCATCCTCATTCGTCATGCTGATTACTTTGCCTGCAGCTAAACCTGTCTTTAATTTTAAAATTAAATATTTTTAAAAAGTGTTTCTTCCTGTGGAATTGTGTTTTAGAAATTCTGATTTTCTTTTCCAATTTCCCTTGGAGATCAAATTTGAAGAAAATATTATTGAATACCTACATGATAATTTGCTACAGGTAATGTACAAAAGAGAATATAATGACATAAATATATTTGTGTTTATATTGTCATAAAACTCACCTTTCAGTTCTATTTAGTAAAAGCTTACCCTGTATATGGACCCATGCATGGATAGGACATGCTATCTGCTTTCTCATGAGGAGCAGAGGCACAGGTAACTTTGAGGCAGGGAGGTTGTGGTTATGCAAAGAAAGATGATAAAGAAGAAATGGGAGAGCTAGAAGACAAACAGCCATACGTGGTATGTGATAAAAAAGCTAAGTGAGCACATGGACAGAGTGCTAAAGCTCTAAGAGAGAGGAAATCTTTTTATTTCATGGTAGTAAAGCATTTACCACCTCATAATAGTTTTGTGACCTTATGAAAAAGGCTCGGGCTCTCTCAGCTCTGGTTTCCCCAGCTGTAAAATTGCAATGATAACAGCTTACCTCTGAGGATAGTTGTGAAGGTGAGGTGGTGAGCTAAAGAGCTAAGGAATCAATTAGTGGCTTTTATTATCATCATTATTGTTATTCAATGAGGAGATGATATTTGAGATAAGCCTTCCTAGAAAGAATATTTGAGGAAGTTTAGGAGAATGGGAAAGAGAACATCTATGTGGGTATGGGATGGTGAGGGGTGGAAAAAAATGGTGAACAGGTGGCATGTGCATTGTATGATTGGGAAAGGAGAGACGGGAAAGGAGCTGTCTGATTATGTCCTGGTTCCTGATGCCGGCTAGTGTGTGGTTAGGAGGGGATAAGAGGACAGGGCTAGTTTGGGGGCAATAGTTATATTATTTCTCATATGGCTTCTCAATTAACTTAGGATATTCTTCCTAAAGTGTTATCTCTGTCAGGAAAAATTGTGGAAAGACTTTGAAATGGATAAAATAATTACTAGGTGTCCTCTTTAGCTGCCTTTCCATTTTACCTAATTCTATAGGGGTCTGCACTTCTTTTGAACCATTTTATAAATCTGTAATGTGTAGAAAGCTTATGTGAATGCAAATGACTTTTTCCTAGGAATGCAAATAAACTTTGTCCAGTAGAATCAAATGTATTATTGCCCAGTAACTATTGACATCTTCTGTGTTTGTTTATTTCAGCATTTCTGATTGCACGGATGTGTGTGTTGTTTGAATCCTCCCTCATACTGATCGTAACATCTTACTGGTTCACTCATTACTTAAAGAAAATCTTTACATACATTCATTTTATATTTGTTAAGAGTCATATTTTATTGGGAGGTCGAGGCGGGAGGATCACGAGGTCAGGAGATAGAGACAATTCTGGCCAACACGGTGAAACCCCGTCTGTACTAAAAATACAAAAATTAGCTGGGCGTGGTGGCATGTGTCTGTAATCTCAGCTACTTGGGAGGCTGAGGCAGGAGAATTGCTTGAACCAGGGAGTCGGAGTTTGCAGTGAGCCGAGATCACGCCACTGCACTCCAACCTGGTCCTGGTGCCACTGCACTCCAGCCTGGCAACAGGGCCAGACTCTGTCTCAGAAAAAAAAAAAAAGAGTCATATTTTAGTTCATTATTTAATACCTCAGGGCATTTTGCTGAGCATAATTCCTTTCTGGAAGGTCACATGCATTCTGGCAGGGTGTGTCAAGAGGGGTGAAGAGGGGAATAGATGAGAGAAATAGTCTATTATACTAGCAGTCCCTATTGCCAAATCTTGCCAAATTGTCTTACCACCATTCCCACCCCCAAGTTGAAAAAAATAAGAGTTTTGAATTAAGATCTAGAGCTTTCTAATTTTTTTTCTTAAAGCGGGGTCTGCAGAAGAACAACACCATATATGCTGGGAACTTGTTGAAAAGGCAGAATCTTAAGATTCATTCCAGACATACTATATTGTAATCTTTACTTTAATGACATCCTCATGTGATTTGCACCCACTAAAGTTTAAAAAGTGCTGATCTAGAACAAAACAGTGAGACCCTGCAGCTCTCAGTTCACCACCTCTCTGCTTCCTCGTGCCTGGCTGAGACAGAGGTTCAGAGTCCATGCAGTGGCAATAAGAAAAGCCACGAGCCATGAGAGCTTAATTTTTTCTTTTATTAAATAAAGGAATCAGCATAATTGTAAGTCTCCAAAGTTTGAAACAGTTCAAGTTGAATGAGCGTAGAGACAAAAGATAATGGGATATATATATATATATATCCATATATATATATATTATTCTAGCTTAATGATGGGGATACATTCTGAGAAGTGCATCAGGTGATTTCATAATGGTGTGAACATCACAGAATGTACTCACACAGATCTAGATGGCATAGCCTACTCCGTACCTAGGCTGTATGGAATAGCCAATTACTCCTAGGCTACAAACCTGTACAGTCTGTTACTGTACTGAATACTGTAGGCAATTGTAACACAATGGTACTTGTGTATCTAAACATAGAAAGGTACGGTAAAAATATGCTATAAAATATAAAAAATGGCATACTTGTGTAGGGCACTTACCATGAATGGAGCTTGCAGGACTGGAAGTTGCGCTGGGTGAGTCAGTGAGTAGTGAGTGAATGTGAAGGCCTAGGAAGTTACCGTGCATTACGGTACACTTTATAAACACTGTTCACTTAGGCCACGCTACCTTTATAACTTTTTTCTTTCTTTAATAATAAGTTAACCTTAGCTTACTGTAACCTTTTTACTTTATAAGCTTTTTAAGTTTTAAAAAGTTTTTGACTTTTCTGTAATAACACTTAAAACACAAACACATTGTACAGCTGTACAAAATTAGTTTCTTTTGTATATCCTTATTCTAAAGCTTTTTTCTATTTTTAAATCTCTTTTTTTACTTTTTAAAGTTTTTGTTAAAAATGAAGATATGGACACGCAATAGCCTAGGCCTACACAGGGTCAGGATCATCAATATCACTCTCTTGTCCCACCTCTTGTCCCATTGGAAAGTCTTCGGGGCAAAAACACACACGGAGCTGTCATCTCCTGTGATAACAGTGCCTTCTTCTGGAATACCTCCTGGAGGACCTGCCTGAGGCTGCTTCAAAATAACTTATTTATAAGTACACTCTAAAATAATGATGAAAAATATAGTATAGTATTTATTTCATAAGCTAGTAACATAGCCATTTATTATTATGTACTGCACATAATTGCATGTGCTATAATTTTTTTACAATTGAAAATACAGTAGGTTTGTTTACACCAGGATGACCACAAACATGTGAGTAATGCATTGAGTTGTGACACGACAATGACTATGATGTCACTATTGATAGGAATTTTGTGGCTTTGTTTTAATCTTATGGGACCACCTTTGTATGTGCAGTCCATTGTTGACTACAACATTGTTATGCAGAACATGATTGTGTGTGTGTTTGTGTGTGTGAATCCAACGAGGATATCCTGCAGCTACCCGGCTATATCCTGGCAGACCCCTTTCCTGCAGCAACATGTCCATTTATTGCTGCAGACTGTTCTCACTGGTTTGATTATTCTCGGGACCCTCAGCCTTGCGGCTCATCTTTGGACTCTCCCACTCTTTTGAATTTGAGATATTGACTTCTTCTCCTCGATGCTCTCCAAGGACAATTTTTTGCCACGAACTCTTTGACATTTTTGCTGTTGGAGGACTTGAATAGGCTACCTTTGCCCTGGCAGACCCATGCTCTGGCACTAATCAGTTCTACCCTTCCAAGTGGAGAAGATAATCATGGTCTCTGGGGCTACAGCTCATATGCAAGGGCATTGGTGGAAATTGGCTATGGTTCCCATAGATGAGCACACAGTATATATTTCATTTACATGAACGAGTGGTCTTTTCAAATAAAACTTTTTTTCCCTTTTTTTTTTTTTTTTCTGGAGACAGAGTTTCACTCTGTCGCCAGGCTGGAGTGCAGTGGCACAATCTCGGCTCAGTGCAACCTCCGCCTCCGGGGTTCAAGCGATTCTCCTGCCTCAGCCTTGGAAGTAGCTGAGACTACAGGCACGTGCCACCATGCCCAGCTAATTTTTGTATTTTTAGTAGAGACGGGGTTTCACCATGTAGGCCAGGATGGTCTCGATCTCTTGACCTTGTGATCCACCCACTTCGGCCTCCCAAAATGCTAGGATTATAGGTGTGAGCCGCTGTGCCTGGCCTAAAACTCTTTGACACACACAAGGGTACAATCAATGTGTTACCATAGGTGAGTTTAACCAAATGTCCTTTAACATTACCTTAGACTCCAGGGTTTCTCAACCTTGGTAATATTCATACCTTGGGCAGAATATTTCCTTTTGTGGAAGGGCTGTGCTGAACATTGTATAATATTTATCAGCAGTCCTGGCCTCCATCCACTACATACAAGTACCCTCCTCCCTGATATGACAACTAAAAATGCCACCAGACATTTGCCAAATGTCCCTGAGGAGTGAGGAAGACGGGGGACAAAATCACCCTTGGTTGAGACATTTATCTATGTGTGTAGGTTGCTATTATTTGCAATCCTAACCCTGGAAACAAGAAAAATCTCCCAACATCTGACCTGGAGGCTTACAGAAAAAAAAGTGCTTGTCAGTAACCATTACACTTCGATTTGGGATTCCTGGGTGCATAGCAAAATAGAAAGTCGTCAGTTTTGTTTTGCTTTACTGATGTGTGCTTTAGGGGAAAAGCAAAGTGATCTGGTTGTGCTTGAATGAGATAGTGGTATTTTCATAACACAATTAGAATGGGGAAAAATTGCATGCAATTAGGTTGAAAGATGCCTTCTTTAAGATGCACTTGGCATAACAGAGCCAGCAGGTTGCAAATTATGGAATGTAGATTTTCATTATCGGGTCTGCATAATGTATAGCTTGCATTTAACAACCAGGTCTGAGGGTGGGTAGGAAGCATGTCAATTGTTTGGTGCGGTAACTAAGGCTTAACACTTTCTACCTCTGGTTTTTTTTATTGCTGTTGCCTTAATTTAAGCACATTTGCCGCTATATTTGCATTTTCTTCAGTTGCTCTTTTTTCTAGTGTATTACCATCATGGTCGCTGCCATTGACTATCAGCATCCTGTGGAAAATCATTTTAGAATCCTCCCAATGCTGGAGAGAGCAGAGATGTGAAGCCTGGCCATCCCCAACCCGGGCATGCCCAATGAGATGACTGGGAAGACCATGGCCTCAGTTTTTTCACTGGACAAAATGGGAGGAGGGGCAGTCGATGCTCATTTTCCAGTTCCTGCCTGACCCTCTCTGACCCTTTACTTTTTAAATCATTCATCAAATGACCATTTTAAAGTTTTAAAAAATTTTCAGTTCATCATTACTATCATTTTTCATCATATTTCACTGGGGCCTTATTCTTGCCAGGAAACTCTCTGCCCTAGTTCAAAACCTAGCTTACCACTTATGACAGTAGTCCCCCCTTATCTGTGGTTTCACTTTCTGTGGTTTCAGTTATCTAGTCAGCCACAGTCTGAAAATATCAAAAGAAAAATTTCAGAAAGAAATAATTCATATGTTTTCAATTACGCACTGTTGCTGAGTAGCGTGATGAAATCTCTCTCTGTCCCTCTCTATCCTGCCTGAGACGTGATGCATCCATGTGTCCGGCGTGTCTGCGCCGTAGACAGTACCTGCCTGTTAGTCACTTAGCAGCCATCTCGGTTATCAGACCGGCGGCCATTGTATTGCAGCAGTGCTTGTACTCAATTATTTAACTCAACTATTCTATTTTATTATTAATTGTTGTTAATCTCTTCCTGTGGCTAATTTATAAATTACACTTTATTATAAGGTATCCATATACAGGAAAAAACATAATATACATAGGATTCAGTACTATTTGTGGTTTCTGGCAACCACTGCAGGGGGGTTGCCTGGAATGTATCCTCATGGACTACTGTAGCTGGAAAATTGACTGAACTTCTAATCAGGGGTCATAGTCAAAATAGATAAAATTGTTGAGGCTCAACCAGTTCAAGCAGATGACAGCACAGCCCAGGAGCAGGTACTGGGAGTTCCTGCTGTACCAGGCGCTCAGCTTTGAGTCACTGGATCATGTGAAAGCAGGGAGGGGAACAGGCCAAGTGGGGAGCAGTCAAAGGAGGTGACCCAGAGGAGGACTTGGAGTAGCCAGAGTACAGGAGAGTGCTTGGGGGAATCAGGGTAGCAGATTTACCACAGATGCGGAAGCCACAGACTGTTAGTTCCGAGACTGATTAAGTCTCACCTGCCTCATACAAAATGGAAATTCAAATAGTGTTTATTGATAGGGTTATTATGGTGCTTCACGGAGATTTTGCAAGTAAAGCACATAGCATAAGGCCTGATGCAGCATAAGTGCTCAATAAATATTAGCCAATATTATTATCATTACCCGATTGTGTCTTCCATATCTCTTTTTGTGTTTCTTCATTGCTTTATCCTACCCACATGTCTATTCTGTGCATTTCTGGTTCTATTTCCCCATTTCTCTATTGTTCCTGTTTAAAGTTTTCTCATGTCCTTAATGTTGTTTCTGCCCTTTTATGTTTCTCTATTTTATTTCTCCTTTTCTGTTAGTATTTTGTCATGCATATCTCCCAAATTTATGTGGGAATGAATATGTGAATGGAATGGGAATATGAGGCACAAAGCAATTTTCAAAATAATGGATGCCTGCAAGTGAAAACGAAGGGAGGGGGATATTTCACTGGCACCATAACTGGGATTCACAGACTTTCTGCTGAGTTTTGAGGTTATGGAAAACCCATGTGCCTGTATGACAGAGTTCTGTCCATGGGAAAAAGGAGACTTAGAGGAGGGTGTCTGGGGTGTTGTGTCAGGGCCAGAGACTGAGCTACGGGCAAATAATACAGTACGTTCCCAGACTTGCGTCAGAGCCCAAGAGGAAGGAAGAGCGCGGTGAAAGCTGAGGAAGTCATTTATGTAACGGACTCTGTGAGATCAGAGACAAGGAGTAAAATGCCTGAGCTCAAGTGACAACAAGCAACCCCAGACTAGAGACAGGATCCTTCTCCCCACTTCGAGCAGATCCCAGCATGAATCCTGCAGTATGGTGATGGCAAAAGTCAGTGCAGGACCACTGGGACTCCTGGAGCTTCTCACATCTCTGAGAGCACCAGCAGCAGGTATTTTGCTCAAAGCAGAGGTGTTCTCAGGGGGGGATGGTTTGACCAAATGTATCTACGGTGCCTTGTGGGAGTGGGCATAGCATGTGAAGACCAGAATAAAGACCTCGTAAGAGAAGTGGTTGTCAGCTGTCAATGATGCTCCAAATAACTGAAATTCATGGCGAGTTAGAGTCATGTGGGGTGATGCAAAGATTCTGAGGGTACCCGTGGAAGCTGCAGTCTAGCAGAGTGGGTTTTAAGCACTGAAGTTACCTCATTTGTGTCTACAGGCTGGGCTATGGGTTGGCTGTTTGACCCCCTCAAACCTCATGTTGAAGTTTGATTCCAGTGTTGGAAGGGGGTCTAATTCGAGGTGTCTGGGTAGTAGGAGCAGATCCCCATTAATAGATGAATGCCCTTTCTGAGGGGAGGGAGTGACTGAGTTCTCACCATGTTAGTTCCCATGAGAGACAGCTGTGAAAAAGAGCCTGGCACTATTTCTCCCTCTCTTGCTTCCTCTCCCACCATGTGATCTCTGCACAGCCAGCTCTCCTCTGCCGTTTGCCATGAGTGGAAGCAGCCTGAGGCCTCACCTGATGCAGATGCCACTGCCATGCTTCTAGTAGAGCCCACAGAACCATGAGCCAAACAAACCTTTCTTCTTATTGTTTTTCTTCCCAACTTTTGTTTTAGTTGGGAAATAAAGGCCCAGTGGAGTGTTTTCTCCACTGTGTTGTGACAGTGGGCCATGAACTTGCCTCATCTTCCTAATAGTTATCTACTACTTAATGTCCGAAGAAACATATGTATTGGCTTGACTAATGTTACATTTATGTTGTTAAGAAACATGTACTCAGGGGCTACATGTGCAGGTTTGCTACATGGGTAAATTTCATACCATAGGAGTTTGGTGTACAGATTATTTTGTCATCCAGGAAATAAGCATAGCATCTATAGGTATGTTTTTGATCCGCACCCTCCTCCTATCCTCCACCCTCAAGCAGGCTTTGGTGTCTATTGTTCCTTTCTTTGTGTACATGTGTACTCCATGTTTAGCTTTCACTTACAAGTGAGAACATGAGGTATTTGGTTTTTTGTTCCTGCATGAATTATCTTAGGATAATGGCATTCAGCTCCATCCATGTTGCTGCAAAAGACACGATCTCATTGTTTTTTAATAGTGGCATAGTATTCCATGGTGTATATATACCATGTTTTCTTTATTCAGTCCACTGTTGATGGGCATGTAGGTTGACTCCATGTTTTTGCTATTGTGAATAGTGCTGAGATAAACATACATGTCCATGTGTCTTTATGGTAGAACAATTAATATTACTTTGGGTATACACCGAGTAACAGAATTGCTGGGTCAAAAGGCTGTTCTACGTTAAGTTCTTTGAGAAATCTCCAAACTGCTTTCCACAATGGCTGAACTAATTTACATTCCCACTAACAGTGTATAAGTATTTCCTTTTCTCTCCAATAAACCTCTTGTCTTTATAAATTACCCAGCCTCAGATATTCCTTCATGGCATTTCAAAACAGACTAAGACATGGTGGTTGTCTGAAGTTATAGAGGCAGATACAAAAAGGAAAATTATGCTAATTACTACTTCTAACCTCATCCCTCACTCCACCTTTCAGAAATTAGGATTAAGTATGTCTGGGGCAAGGCCCAGGAATCTGAACTTTTAACGAGTACACCATCCTCCCCTTCTGTTCCTATCCTAGATCCTTAGAATATACACAAAGTTTTCATGGACCACACATTATGAAACACTGGATTAGCGCAAAGTGAAATGCTTCCAGAGTAGGAGCCACTATTCTGAGGAATCTTGGAAGAAAAAGTATCAAAATATGTTACTATGTTTTGGGGGGATAGAGACAGAACTTAAAATTGATTGAACTCCAAATATGGCCAATTTTTTGGATGATTTAATCTTTCCCTAAAGCTCTTTGTTTACCCATAAAATGTGAACTTTCCTTGACTTTGACTGGGTATGGAGTAGATTGATGGTATTGACTGATATTTTTGAGTGTGTAGTTTGTGGTTTTATGAGGCATTTTTATATTGTCTTTACACTTTTGGAAAGTATATGCAATTGCTAAAACTTCAACGTTATCTTTTTCTTTTGATGAAATAGAAAACATCGCCCATTTCATCTGTTTCTTCAGTCCCCAGATAGCAGATGACTGGTAGGAAGATGAGGCAAGTTTGCGGTCCATTGTCATGGATAGTGGAGACAACACTGGGCCAGAAGTGGTAAGACCTGAATCCAAGACTCAGCTCTGCCACTTGCTAAATGGGACTTTGAATAAACC